>NW_003571060.1:0-253362 GCF_000001405.40 Homo sapiens
TGTCAGTTGCTTGGTGTGGTGAAGCAATGAGAGTGTTTTTTTCGGGGGAGGAGGTGTCAGATAGATCAAGAATTTATAATTAGCATAAGAAATGTACTTCTTAACAAAGCCAGCCTGGGCAACATAGTGAGATTCCCATCTCTACAAAAAAAAAAAAAAAAAAATTAGCCCAGTGTGGTGGTGCACACCTGTGGCCCCAGCTACTTGGGAGGCTGAGGCAGGAGGATTGCTTGAGCCTGGGAGGTCAAGGCTGCAGTGAGCTATGATTGTGCCACTGCACTCCAGTCTGTGTGACAGTGCAAGACCCTGTCTCAAAAAATAAAAAGAAAAAAAAAGAAACATACTAAAAAAGGACACATATTAGCAATATGAAACAAGAACAATTTTCCATAAAGCAAGAGGCTTATGGAAATAAAAAGTATAAAAATACATGATGGTAAAAAATATATAACATTATCCTCTAACAGAATAGGCAGTAGGGTGGGTGCCGTGGCTCACGCCTGTAATCCCAGCACTTTGAGAGGCTGAGGTGGGATGATCACTTGAGACCAGGAGTTCGAGACCAGTCTGGGCAACATGGTGAGACCGTGTCTCTTTAAAAAAAAAAAAAAAAAAGGCAGAATTGATACAGCTGAAGAAAAATGAACAAGTAAGAAAATGTGGTGGAGGAACTTCTCCAGGAAGCTGATATAATTATATTAAGATCAGAAAAAATAAGAGAAAAGTCATCGTACGATATAAGGGACAGGTGTTTCTCAAAATCCAAAATCTTCTCTGCTAAGAGAATCCTGATTTTGTTTTTGTTTTTGTTTCTTGAGATGCAGTCTTGCTCTGTCGCCCAGGCTAGAGTGCAGTGGTGCAATCTCAGCTCACTGCAAACTCCACCTCCCAGATTCAAGTGATTCTCCTGCCTCAGCCTCCCCAGTAGCTGGATTACAGGTGCTCGCCACCACACCCAGCTAATTTTTGAATTTTTAGTAGAGACGGGGTTTCACCATGTTGGTCAGGCTGGTCTCAAACTCCTGACCTCGTGATTCGCCCACCTCAGCCTCCCAAAGTGCTGGGATTACAGGCCTGAGCCACCGCACCCAGCCGAGAACCCTGATTTTGTTCAGGTGTCAGTTGGCCACCCTTGTTCCTTGGAGACTTGGCCCTTTTCTAGTTTCAGGCATGAATCTTGATTAGTCTAAGGCTTAGTGACGTGCTGGTTGTGAAAGTGTGGTCCCTGAACCAGCAGCGTCAGCATCACCTGGGAGCTCGTCAGAAAGGCAAATTCTTGAGCCCCACCCCAGACCTACTGAATCAGTCAGAAACTCTGAAGGTGAGCTTTTCCTTTCTCCTCCTCTCCAACCTATGGTTTGACAAGTCCTCCAGGTGATTCTGATGCACACTGAAGTTTAAACACCTTTAGCCCAGTTAGGTAAACTCACGCCCACTGCTAGTGGTTATTTAAGGAAGGGGCTGGATGCAATTGTGTTTCTTGAGATGTGAGTGGAAATCTCGTGGGAGGCTTCCTCATGTTGGAGAGGGCCGCGTTGGAAGGGCCTTTCTATGCCCTTCGTCTGCTTTTTATCTCATCCTTTCCAAAAAATTAACTTTTTATTTATTTATTTGAGACAGAGTCTTGCTCTTGTCGCCCAGGCTGGAGTGCAGTGGCGCGATCTCGGCTCACTGCAACCTCCACCTCCTGGGTTCAAGCAATTCTCCTGCCTCAGCCTCCCGAGTAGCTGGGGCTACAGGCACCTGCTACTATGCCCAGCTAATTTTTGTATTTTCCGTAGAGACAGGGCTTCACCATGTTGGCCAGGCTGGTCTCAAACTCCTGACCTCAAGTGATCTGCCCACCTCAGCCTCCCAAAGTGCTGGCATTACAGGAGCGAGCCACCTCACCTGGCTTAACTTTTTATTTTAAAATAGTTCTGGAGGCCAGGTGTGGCAGCTCACGCCTATAATCCCAGCACTTTGGGAGTCTGAGGCAGAAGGATCTCTTGAGCCCAGGTGTTCAAGACCAGCCTGGGCAACATGGCAAAATCCCATCTCTACAAAAAAGTTTTTAAAAATTAGCATTTGCCTGTGCGTCCAGCTTCTCAGGAAGCTGAGGCGGGAGGATCACTTGAGCTTAGGAGGTCAAGGCTGCAGTGAGACACCATACTGGGATTACAGGCGTGAGACACCACTCCAGGTCTGGGTTCTCTTTTTTTTTTTTTTTTTTTTTGAGACAGAGTCTCACTCTTTCGCCCAGGCTGCAATGAAGTGGCACCATCTTGGCTCACAGCAACCTCCACCCCGCAGATTCAAGCGATTCTCCTGCCTCAGCCTCCTGAGCAGCTGGGATTACAGGCGCCCGCCACCAAGCCTGGCTAATTTTTATATTTTAGAGATGCCCAGGCTGGAGTACAGTGGTGCGATCTCAGCTCAACACAACCTCCACCTCCCGGATTCAAGTGATTCTCCTGCCTCAGCCTCCCCATTAGCTGAGATTACAGGCATGCACCACCACGCCCGGCTAATTTTGTATTTTTAGTAGAGACAGGGTTTCTCTGTGTTGGTCAGGTTGGTCTCCAATTCCTGACCTCCGGTGATCTGCCTGCCTCGGCCTCCCAAAGTGCTGGGATTACGGGTGTGAGCCACTGTGCCCGGCTGATCTTACATTTTCTTGTGCACTTATTCATGAGCTTTTTTTTTTTTTATGAAAATGAATTCCTACCATCCATTCTCCTTCCAAACTGCTCATACCCAGTATTCCCAAGGTTTTTGCACATGTATATAACAGAATGTCAAAGTAGATTCATTGCAATCTCAGTTTCTGCTCAGGCCCAAAGATTATAGATGCCAGCGAGGTCAGATCTCACAGTAAGGCCATTTCTGCATGACTTCAGGAGAAAATGCTGAAAACCTAATTTCCCCACACCCTTGGCCTCTTGTCCACCTGAAGGTAAGAAAGGAGTGTTGGGGGGAAGGGGGAGGGATAGCATTAGGAGATATACCTAATGCTAAATGACGAGTTAGTGGGTGCAGCACACCAGCATGGCACATGTATACATATGTAACTAACCTGCACATTGTGCACATGTACCCTAAAACTTAAAGTATAATAATAATAAAATAAAATAAAAATAAATAAATAAATAAAAATTAAAAAAAGAAAAAAAAAAGAAAGGAGTGTTGAGATTAGAAGGTATTTTTTTTCCTATTGGGATACAGGTGGTGTTTGGTTGCATGAGTAAGTTCTTTAGTGGTGCTTTGTGAGATTGTGGTGTAGCCATCACCCAAGCAGTATACACTGCACCCCATTTATAGTCTTTTATCCCTCGCCCCCCTCTCACCTTTCCCCCCAAGTCCCCAAAGTCCATTGTATCATTCTTATGCCTTTGCATCCTCATAGTTTAGCTCCCACATATCAGTGAGAACATATGATGTTTGGTTTTCCATTCCTGAGTTACTTCACTTAGAATAATAGTCTCCAGAGATTAGAAGAGTTTTTGTTTTGTTTTGTTTCTGTGTGTTTGTTTACGTAAGCTGTTGGTGTGCTGTGAGTCCCATCCTCTGTCCACCGTAGATGTGTGATGGAGGATGACAGTCTCTTCAACTGGACAATTCAGAGTAGTTATATGGGGTGAGGGGCGGGTCCAGAGAGGAATGGGGTCTGATATGGTTTGGCTTTATGTCCCCACCCAAATCTCATCTTGAATTGTAATCCCCAGGTGTTGGGGGAGGAACCTGGTGGGAGGTGATTGAATCATGGAGGTGGCTTCTACCTTGTTGTTCTCATGATAAAGTGAGTTCTCAGGAGATCTGATGGTTTTATAAGCGTTTGGCAAGTTCCTCCTTTGCTTGCTCTTCTCTCTCTCTTGTTGCCTTGTGAAGAAGATATTTGCTTCTCCTTCCCCTTCTGCCATGACTGTAGTTTCCTGAGGCCACCCTAGCCATGTGGAATTGTAAGTCAATTAAATCTCTTTCTTTTTTTTTTGAGACTGAGCCCCCCTGTCATCCAGGCTGGTGTGCAGTGGTGCAATCTCAGCTCACTGCAACCTCCGCCTCCTGGGTTCAAGCGATTCTCCTGCCTCAGCCTACCGAGTAACTGGGACAACAGGCATGCGCCAATAGCCGGCTAATTTTGTATTTTTAGTAGAGGTGGCGTTCACCATGTTGACCAGGCTAGTCTCGAACTCCTAACCTCAAGTGATCCGCCCACCTCAGCCTCCCAAAGTGCTAAGATTACAGGTGTGAGCCACCACACACGGCCTCGGCTATTTATAGCAGTGTGAGAACGGGCTAACACAGGGTCTTTCCTCACTGGAGAGAGAGGGTGGGAGGAGAGAGAGAGGGTGGGAGGGGAGAGAGGGGAGAGGGGAGAAATGGGGGAGGGGGGGAGAGGGGGGAGAGAGAATGAATATGAGAATGAATGTACCAGGAGCTTTTATCCTTTGCAGGAGCGCCACCTGGAGGTAGGAGGTGAAGTCTGCAGAGAGAAGCTGGAAATGTACTGACGGATCCCCAAGGATTCAGTAATGTGACCAAGTGGAGGAGCTGCATTTACAGGCATCAAGGGAACTGCAGGTGAGAGGTCTGCAGCCTTGCAAGAGAGTGGGGGAAGCAGGAGAAGCTCCACGTGGGGAGATAAAGGAAAAGCTGACCACGCTTCCTCCACGTTGCAGGCAACCTGCCGAAAGGATTTTAATCACTGAGCTGACACTGTATTTTTTTCTTGTATGTGACTTTTTTAAGAAGCAGCTGGAAGTCTTTATGACCTAAGATGACTATAAAAATTATGAGAAGGCCGGGCGCAGTGGCTCACACCTGTAATCCTAGCACTTTGGGAGGCCAAGGTGGGCGGATCACTTAAGGTCAGGAGTTCGAGACCAGCCTGGCCAACATGGCGAAACCCTGTCTCTACTAAAAATACAAAAATTAGCTGGGCGTGGTAGCACATGCTTGTAATCCCAGCTGCTCGGGAGGCTGAGGCAGGAGAATCACTTGAACCTGGGAGGCAGAGGTTGCAGTGAACCATGACTGCACCATAGCACTCCAGGCTGGGCAACAGAGCAAGACTGTCTCAAAAAAAAAAAAAGTTATGAGACTTGCTTTACATGTCACCCAAGGGCACAGGTAAAGAATTAGACCTAGGAGTTGGGTTGATAGGGCAATGGGAAAAAAGAAAAAAATTGTTTACTGAATCAAGGGAATAATCACACCTACATCTTTGCAACTCACGTGCTTACAACTAGGGCAACCAAATTGTTCCGGTTCGCCCAGGATTTTCTCTGGTTTAGCCCTGAAATTTCTGTGTCCTGGGAAATTCCTCATTTCTATTTTAAAACCGAAAGTCCCACATCCTAAGACACACACACACGCCCCTGCACACACCAATCCTGGTAAAACGGTAACAGTTGGTCATACTATCTACAACAACCCTATTCGAGATCTGTGTCTTCACGATGAGGAAAGGCACATGCAGTTCTGGAGATTTTAACACGTGTTCCCAAGGTCACACAACCTGCCCTTGTATCCAGCACTGAAAGCAGATGACTCTCCTCTTTCCACGATTCTAAGCCTCTTCCCGTAGCATGTCCCATGTGGAGGAGAAAAGTTAAGAAAATGAAACTGGCCAAAACTTGCTACTGCATTTGTGATTTTAGAAAGTAAATGATCAGACATTATTAAAATTATCAATGCAAAAAGAAAGTGAGACTGAACAGATTGTTTACCTTAACAAGATCAAGTTAAACTCGTATAGGGCTTATATATAATGCCGCTTAAAAGCTCAAGTTTATGCGGGGCAGTTTTGGTGGAAGAAGCTCAGGCAGTCCCTCTGGTGGTCGTTATAGATCTGGCCGTGGAACTGGTGGATATGAAAACAGAAGGTTCTAAAAACAGCAGAAAAGGGCAACAGTTCTTAGCAGGAGAGACAGTGAGGAAAGCTGCAGGTTACTTGGAGACAGTCATCCCAAATGCATTAGAGGAGGTGTAAAAATCTGCCACAGAAGGAACAATGATCCATAGTCAGAAAAGTTACTGCAGCTTAAGCAGGAAACCCTTCTTGTTCAGGACTGTCATAGCCACAGTTTGCAAAAAGTGCAGCTATTGATTAATGTGATGTAGTGTCAATTAGAGGTACATCCCTGAGGTCTTTAAAACAAAACAAACTCAGCCAGGCACGGTGGCTCACACCTGTAATCCCAGTGCTTTGGGAAGCTGAGGCAGGCAGATCACCTGAGGCTGGGAGATTGAGACCAGCCTGGCTAACATGGTGAAACCCCGTCTCTACGAAAAATACAAAAATTAGCCCGGCATGGTGGTGGGCGCCTGTAATCCCAGCTACTCAGGAGGCTAAGGCAGGAGAATTGCTTGAACCCAGGAGGTGGAGGTTTCAGTGAGCCAAGATCGTGCCACTGCACTCCAGCCTGGGTGACAAGAGTGAAACTCCGTCTCAAAAAATAAATTAAATAAATAAATAATTAGCTGGACGTGGTGGCAGGCACCTGTAATCCCAGCTACTTGGGAGGCTGAGGCAGGAGAATCACTTGAGCCTGGGAGGTGGAGGTTGCAGTGACCAGAGATCGTGCCACTGAACGCCAGCCTGGGCAACAGAGCAAGATTCTGTCTCAAAAACAAAAACAAAAACAAAAAAAGGCTCAAGTTTATGAATGAACTGTTCATATCAGGTGATGGTCTTTCAAAATAATGACTGTTTTGTACCAACTATTGTGCTCATGTGATTGATTGAACAATGCTTCCAAAGAATTTGAAACAATAAGGCAAAGAAACCTAATGTTCATAACAGAAAAAAAAATTAAATGTATAGCACTAGAAAAATTGATTTTTTTTTTTTTGAGACAGGGTCTCACTCTGTCACCCAGGCTGGAGTGCAGTGGTGCAATGATGGCTCACTGCAGCCTCCACCTCCTGGGCTCCAGCGATCCTCCTGCCTCAGCCTCTAGAGTAGCCCGGACTACAAGCATGCACCACCATGCTCAGCTAATTTTTGTATTTTTAGTATAGACAGGGTTTTACCATTTTCCCCAGGCTGGTCTCGAACTCCTATGCTCAAGCAATCAACTTGCCTCAGCCTCCCAAAGTGCTGGGATTACAGGCATGAACCACAGAGCCTGGCATGATACTAGAAAAATTCTTTTTTTTTTTTTGACATTTAAGTTCAGGGGTACATGGGCAGGATGTGCAGGTTTGTTACACGGGTAAACGTGTGTCATGGGGGTTTGTTGTACAGATTATTTTTTTTCTAGTGTATTTACTACTTCCTGATTATCAGATTATTTTATCACCCAGTTATTAAGCCTAGTACCCACTAGTTATTTTTCCTGATCCTCTCTCTGCTACCACCCTCCACCCTCTGACAGGCCCCAGCATGTGTGAAAAATTCTTATAGTCTTCTAGAAAATACAATAGGTAGCCTTTGGAACATAGGGTATCATAAAGAGAAGCTGTAGAAAATATATTTCTTTGAATTTTTTTTTTTTTTTTTTTTTACAAATGATCACTATAATGTTTAAAATATGTTTACCACCTACAGTTGTGTGCTAGGGAAGCCATAACAAAATGCCCCCCACTGGGGGGCTTATGGGACAGAAATGGATTTTCTCACCGTTCTGCAGGCTGGAAATCCAAGATGGAGGTGCCAGTAGGGTCAGTTTCTCCCGGGGTCTCTCTGCTTTGTATGCAGATGGCCGCCTTCTTGCTGTGTCTCCACGTGGTCTTTCCTCTGGATGTACATATCCTGGTGTCCTTTTCTTTTTTTTTTTTTTGAGTTGGAGTCTTACTCTGTTGCCCAGCTGGAGTGCAATGACACGATCTCAGCTCACTGCAGCCTCTGCCTCCTGGATTCAAGCGATTCCCCTGCCTCAGCCTATCGAGTAGCTGGGATTACAGGCGTGCACCACCGCGCCCAGCTAATTTTTGTATTTTTAGTAGACATGGGGTTTGGCCATGTTGGCCAGGCTGGTCTTGAACTCCTGACCTCAGGCGATCCGCCCACCTGGGCTTCCCAAAGTGCTGAAATTACAGGCGTGAGCCACCACACGTAGCCCCTAGTGTCTTTTTTATGTCCAAATTTCCTTTTTTCACAACGGCCTCTTGTCTCTAAATACAGTCACATTCTGAGTTACTGGGAGTTAGGATTCAGCACACGAATTTTGAGGAGATGTAATTCAGCCCATAATTAAGCCCTATCCTCATCAGACTGATGATCTGTGCTTTCTCTGAACTAACAGGATTTATATATTCCTTTTTAACAGCAAGGAACTCAGGTTCTCCATGGCCCCTTTATGAAGTTGCTCCTGCTGGTACATGACCCTCAGTTAGTTTCCTGAAGTTATTTACAAAGCCACCTCCACATGTGTTGAGCCTCTTCAGTTTACTTCAAATCCTGGGCCTGTGCTGCATGGCGGTGCTTTCCACAGATTCATATGTTAGATCTTTTCTATTTTTTTTTCTGAGACAGAGTTTCCCTCTGTCGCCCAGGCTGGAGTGCAATGGTGTGATCTCGGCTCACTGCAACCTCTGCCTCCTGGGTTCAAGCAATTCTCCTGCCTCAGCCTCCTGAGTAGCAGGGACTACAGGCGTGTGCCACTATTCCCAGCTAATTTTTGTATTTTTAGTAGAGGCAGGGTTTCACCATATTGGCCAGGATGGTCTCGATCTCTTGACCCCATGATCCTCCCACTTTGACCTCCCAAAGTGTTGGGATTACAGGTGTGAGCTACCGCGCCTGGCCACATATTAAATCTTTTTTTTTTTTTTTTTTTTTGAGACAGAGTCTTGCTCTGTCACCCAGGCTGGAGTGCAATGATGGATCTCGGCTCACTGCAAGCTCCGCCTCCCAGGTTCATGCCATTTTCCTGCCTCAGCCTCCCGAGTAGCTGAGACTACAGGCACCCGCCACCACACCTGGCTAATTTTTTGTATTTATAGTAGAGATATGTTAGCCAGGATGGTCTCGATCTCCTGACCTCATGATCCACCCACCTCGGCCTCCCAAAGTGCTGGGATTACAGGCGTGAGCCACCGCGCCCGGCCTCATGTTAAATCTTGACACCCAATGTGATCTGAGAGGTTGGGCCTTTGGTGATGGCAGCAGCCACTCCAGACGGCTTGCTGCTGCCATGACGCCACCTGCCCCAGGGAGGCCCAGCCCGGGCTATACACGCTATGGAGCCGCAGGGAGCCCTGCCCCTTCCGAGTTGGGGCGGGAGCTCCCAGGGTGATGCTACAGCTGTCCAAACCCCAGCTGTGGATCCGAGCCTCCCTCAGATCGTATCACATATCAAGACTTACTCTTGTTGACAAAAAGAGTCAAACTCTATAAAATATTTGAAGAGATTTATTCTGAGCCAAATATGATAATGACCATGGCCCCTGACACAGCCCTAAGGAGGTCCTGAGACCATGTACCCAAGGTGGTCGGGGGGCAGCTTGGTTTTATACATTTTAGGGAGGCGTGAGGCATCAATCAAACACATTTGAGAAATACATTGGTTTGGTCCAGAAAGGCTGGACAATTTGAAGGAGGCAGGGCCTTCCAGGCTTTAGGTAAATTAAAACATTTTCTGGTTGACAATTGGTTGAGTTTGTCTAAAGACCTGGGATTAATAGAGAGGAAATATTCAGGTTAAGATAAAAGATTGTGGAGACCAAGGTTCTTTTGAAGTCTTATAGTGGCTGCCCTTAGAGACAATAGATGACAAATGTTTCCTACTCAGACCTTCAAAAGTTGCTAGATTCTCAGTTAACCTCCTCAGGATTGGGAGGTCCTGGAGGAAAAAGATCTAGCAATGTTAACAGAGATCCTTTACATATGCAAATATTCCCCCCCACCAAGGACAGCTTTGCAGGGCCATTTAAAAATATGGCAAAGAAACATGTTTTGGGGTAAAATATTTTTATTTTCTTCTTTGTTAGGTAATGTTATGCCAGAGTCAGATTGGAAAGTAAGTCACGATATATAGGGCTAAATAAAACCCATCTGATGAGAATTTATGGTTTGTAGGGCATGAGACCCCAGACCCCTTAGATAAGAATCTGGGCAAGATAAAAAAAAAAAATCAGAGCTGAGTCCTCACTATGGTAATTCAGTGAGTGTGACTACCAGCATAGATGTCCATAAAGGATATCCATTAGGGCCACCCATTTTAATAATGTTTGCCAGGACCCTTCAATCAAAACAAAATCCATTCTCAGAATAGCTTAGAATCAAAGGAGGACTTTTTGGGTTTTTTTGGTTCAAGAAGGATTGGGCAAGAAAACTGCAGGGAGTGAAGGAATGCTGAGCTTTGGAAGCAATTAGAACCAAGAAAACAAAAGCTGAAAGCACTGTTACTCACTCCCGCTTCCCGGATGCTCCCTGAGTCATCTTTGTGTTTCTCCATAAAGACTGGCTTCCTCCACATGGCGAGACAGATGGCCACCAAGAACTCCCAAGCTTAAAAAAGAATGACTCTCTGTGGCAAGAAAACAAAGAGACACTCCTCCCCACCTTGCTACTCCCTATGTGGCCTCCACACTGCAACCTGGGACTGTGTAGTGAGGGGAGGGGGAGCGAAGAAGTTTGCGTTAGTCTGTTTTCACACTGCTGATAAAGACATACCTGAGACTGAGTAATTTATTTTTATTTTTATTTTTATTTATTTATTTTTTTGAGACGCACTCTGTCACCCAGGCTGGAGTGCAGTGGCACGATCTCCGCTCACTGCAAGCTCCGCCTCCCGGGGTCACACCATTCTCCTGCCTCAGCCTCCTGAGTAGCTGGGACTACAGGCGCCCGCCACCGCGCCCGGCTAATTTTTTGTATTTTTAGTAGAGACGGGGTTTCACTGTGTTATCCAGGATGGTCTCGATCTCCTGACCTCATGATCCACCCGCCTCGGCCTCCCAGAGTGCTGGGATTACAGGCGTGAGCCACTGCGCCCAGTCAGTTTACTTTTTAAAAAAGAGGTATAACGGACTTACAGTTCCACATGGCTGGGGAGGCCTCACAATCATGGCAGAAGGTGAAAGGCACATCTTACATGGTGGCAGACGACAGAGAAATGAGAGAGCCAAGCAAAAGGGGAAACCCGTTATAAAAACCTCAGCTCTCCTGAGACTTGTTCACTACCATGAGAACGGCATGGGGGAATGTGTGGGTGGAGGATTAGCCAGGTGCTGAGGCAAGAGACTGAAGGCACAAACTGTTGCAGTATAATAAAGAAAATAGAATAAGAATAGTCATAATACAAATTAGATGTAGAGATGATCATGGACAATTATCAATCATTATTATAAACATTATTAATCATTAGCTTTTAATATTACTCTTTGCTGCATTACTAATATAACCTAGGAATAACCGGCGGGTATAGGGTCAGGTGCTGAAGGGACATGGTGAGAAGTGACCTAGAAGGCAAGAGGTGAGCCCTCTGTCACGCGTGCATCAGGGCCGCTTGAGGGGTCCTTGGTCAAGCGGTAACGCCAGTGTCTGGGAAGGCACCCGTTACTTAGCAGACGGTGAAAGGGAGTCTCCTTTCCTTGGAGGAGTCAGGGAACACTCTGCTCCACCAGCTTCTTGTGGAAGGCTGGATATTATCCAGGCCTGCCCGCAGTCATCCGGAGGCCTAAACCCCTCCCTGTGGTGCTGTGCTTCAGTGCTCACACTCCTTGTCCACTTTCATGCTCCTCCCGTACTCCTGGCTCCTCTTTGAAGTTCATAGTAGATAGCGGTAGAAGAAATAGTGAAAGTCTTAAAGTCTTTGATCTTTCTTATAAGTGCATGGAAGAAAACGCTGACGTATGCTGCCTTCTCCCTCTCTCTCTGCTTCGGCTACCTAAGAGGGAAGGGCCCCCTCTCCTGTGATCACACGACTTGCTTCACCTTGTCAATCACTTCGAAGATTCACCCTGCTTACCCTGCCCCCTTATCTTGTATGCAATAAGTATCAGCGCGCCCAGCCGTTATGGGCCACTACCGGTCTCCGCGTCTTGATGGTTGTGGTCCTCCGGGCCCAGCTGTTTTCTCTTTATCTCTTTGTCTTGTGTCTTTATTTCTTACAATCTCTTATCTCTGCACACGGGGAGAACACCTGCAAAGCCCCATAGGACCCTGCAGGAATCCACCCCCATGATTGAATTATCTCCCACTGGGTCCATCCCACAACACATGGGAATTATGGGAGCTACAACTGAAGATGAGATTTGGGTGGGGACACAGACACAAGCCATATATCAAGGTTGTTCCTTCAGATGCAGCAATCCTGGGAGCTTCTGGTTAGGACAAGATACAAGCAGAGACAGCTTCATGGGTATTGTAAACTCAATGTTTGTGTCCCGACAAAATTCAGCTGTTGGAACCTAACCCCAAGGTGATGGTATTTGTAATACGGGAGCTAAAAAGAAATTATTGAGGCAGACAGTGAGGGTAAGAGAGTCCTCAGTAAGGTTTCCTATTAATAAAGAGCAGCCCCCAAATAATTTCTTTTCTAACAGAAAGCAGCCTGAAACATCAAGCTGCAAGCATAGATAAACAAGCTAAAATCTTGCATCAGCTGTGCCAATAGAAAACGGATGCCTGGGAGCCGGGTATATTCAACATGGAGGTTCCCTCTTCCCTTTTCTTTGTCCCCACATGTGCAGTAAAAAAGCAGACAACATGGCCCCGGCCAGGCAGAGACCCTACCTACGTAATAAAAGATTAGGGTGGGATGGCCAGCTTCTTTGGGGGCTATGCAAACGTCATACCTGGTCCGACTAATCTCTCAGGCCCTATGTAAATCAGACAGCACCTCCTCAAGCTTGTCTATAAAAGCCCCATGCATTTCACCACAAAACCAGGGGTCCCACTCGGGAACCCCTCTCTTCTCTGTGCAAAAGAGAGAACTATTCTCTTTTCTCTTTCTTTTGCTTATTAAGCCTTCACTCTTTTTTTTTTTTTTTTTTTTGAGATGGAGTCTGGCTCTGTCATTCAGGCTGGAGTGCAGTGGCACGATTTCGGCTCACTTCAACCTCCGCCTCCCAGGTGCAAGCAATTCTCCTGCCTCAGCCTCCCAAGTAGCTGGGATGACAGGCACCCACCACTGCGCCCAGCTAATTTTTATATTTTTAGTAGAGATGGGGTTTCACCGTGTTGGTCAGGCTGGTTTCGAACTCCTGATCTCAGGTGATCCGCCCCCCACTCGGTCTCCCAAAGTCCTGAGATTACAGGCGTGAGCCACTGCGCCCGGCCCAGTCTCTTTCACTATGTAAGGACACAGCAAGAAGGTGCCAGCTATGAACCAGGAAAAAAGCCCTCAGCAGACACTGAATCTACCAGTGCTTTGGTCTTGGACTTCCAGCCTCCAGAACCATGAGAAATAACTATGTGTTGTCTGTAAGCTGCCAGGTCTTTGGTATGTTGATAGCAGCCTGGATGGACTAAGACACTCTCTCCTTCCCTCTCATGCCCTGGACCCTCATCAGGGCCAGAAGTGGTTGGGGTGATGGCCCAAGCAGACTTTAAAAAGCACTGGCCTAGCACAAGGGTTGGCACGCTAGAGCCCACAGCTTGTTTTTGCAAATAAAATTTTTTGTTTTTAAAACAACTTTCTGGGCTGGGCACGGTGGCTCACGCCTGTAATCCCAGCACTATGGGAAGCCGAGGCAGGCGGATGACTTGAGGTCAGGAGCTCAAGACCAGCCTGGCCAACATGGTGAAACCCCATCTCTACTAAAAATACAAAAAAATTAGCCTGGTGTGATGGCAGAAGCTTGTAATCCCAGCTACTCAGGAGGCTGAGACAGGAGAATCATTTGAACCTGCGGGGAGAGGTTGCAGCGAGCTGAGATCACGCCACTGCACTCTGGCGCCTGGGCGACAGAGCAAGACTCCATCAAAAAAAAAAAAACTTTCTATAGATACATAATATTTATGCATATTTATGACATACATGTGATAGTTTGATACATGCACAGAATGTATAATACTCAAATTAGGGTATTTAGGATATTCACCACCTCAAACATTTATCTTTTTTTTTATCTTTTCGAGACAGAGTCTCTCTCTGTCGCCCAGGCTGGAGTACAGTGGTGTGATCTTGGCTCACTGCAACCTCTGCCTCCCGAGTTCAAGCAATTCTTCTGCCTCAGCCTCCCAAGTGGCTGGGATTACAGGTGTGCGCCACCACACCCAGCTAATTTTTGTATTTTTAGTGGAGATGGGGTTTCACCTTGTTGGCCAGGCTGGTCTTGAACTCCTGACCTCAGGTGATCCACCCATCTTGGCCTCTCAAAGTGTTGGGATTACAGGAGTGAGCCACTGCACCTGGCTCATTTATCGTTTGTGTTGGGAATGTTTCAAATCTTCTCTTCTAGCTATTTTGAAATATACAATATATTGCTGTTAACTATAGTCACCCTTCTGTGCTATTGAACACTTGAACTTATTCCTTCTATCCAACTGTGTTTGTGCCCATTAACTATCCCACCCCTTCTAGCCTTTGATAACTGACTCTCTCTTTACCTTCATGAGATCTACTTTTTTAGCTCCTACATGAGTGAGAACATGAAGTTGTAAATAAAGTTTTATTCTAACACCGCCACACCTACTTGTTTACATATCAGCGATGGCTGCTTTCATGGTACAACAGCAGAGTGGGGTAGTCTCAGCAGAGATCCTACAGCCCACAAAGCTGGACGTGTTACTCTCTGGTCCTTTTGTTTTCTGCCCTCTGGTCTAGGAGTTTGCAGCTCTGGGCGTTTTTTGTTTTTTTTTTTTTTTTTTTTTGAGATGGAGTCTCACTCCATTGCCCAGGCTGGAATTCAATGGCGCCATCTCAGCTCACTGCAATCTCTGCCTCCTGGGTTCAAGCGATTCTTCTGCCTCAGTCTCCCAAGTAGCGGGGATTACAGGCGCCTGCCACCACGTCCAACTAATTTTTTATTTTTAGTAGAGATGGGATTTCACCATGTTGGTCAGGCTGGTCTTGAACTCTGACCTCAGATGATCCACCCACCTCGGCCTCCCAAAGTGCTGGGATGACAGGCGTGAGCCCGGCCGTTTTCTTTTTTGCTTGTTGTGCTTCCTGGAGATGCTCAGTAATTCTTACATTCTTTCCTGGATAGCTGGTCAATCATTATTTATTATTTCCTTGAATTGTTCTAGGAGGAAATGTGGGGTAGAAAGAGTATGGTGGGGTTCTTGGGCATGAATAATCCATAAATAAGTCAGATTTCTTTTTAAGACGAGAAACTTAATTTTATTGATATGGACGAAGAGCAAGGAAACACAGTATCTGCATCTCCAGATTTCCGATAACCTTGGCCAGCACGATCCCCCCTCCTTTAGTGGCCAGGGCTGTCTTCTTGCTACACTTTCAGTGCCGCATATTCATGAGATCCTGGGGGCTCCTGGGTGGTGTCTGAAGCTGCCTCAGACAGGGCGCTGGTGCTTAGCTCAGCATAGGTCACTCCTTGGGGGTCTGCCGTCTTTGGAGAAAATAGATGAATATTAGAACTGAGTGTTCAATATGGCAGCCACTAGCCACACATGGCTATTGACATTTAAGTTAATTACAATTAAATTTAATTTAAAACCCAGGTCCTCGGTCACACCAGATGCATTTCTTTTTCTTTTCTGTTTTTATAACCCTTTATGCCTGTGACATCAATGGATCTGCGTAAGCCTTTTTTCATTTTTTTTAAATTTTTATTTATTTATTTATTTTGGGACAGAGTCTGGCTCTGTCGCCCAGGCTGGAGTGCGGTGGCGTGATCTCGGCTCACTGCAACCTCCGCCTCCCGGGTTCAAGCCATTCTCCTGGCTCAGCCTCCTGAGTAGCTGGGATTACAGGCGCCCACTACCACGCCCAGCTAATTTTTTGTATCTTTAGTAGAGATGGGGTTTCACCATGTTAACCAGGATGGTCTCGATCTCCTGACCTCATGATCCGCCCGCCTCGGCCTCCCAAAGTGCTGGGATTACAGGCGTGAGCCACCGCGCCCGGCCCATGCATAAGCCTTTTAAATGGAGATTTTGGTTCCCATTAGGGGAGTTTCGTGACTTGTCTAAGACCACATGCGTGATAAACAGTATACATTTCTGTATGGGCTTAACCAGGAGGCACACACGACCAGCCCATTGTGGTGAGGGAGCTCTTGTGGGACTCCTAAGCGGGAGGACTCACCGAGAGAGATACCCTTTCCATATTGGATAAATCTGCCTCTGAGTGAGAAAGGAAAAAAAAAAATCAGTTCTCAGCTGCAGAAGTCAGAACTTAGTCTTTCTATCCGGTGATTCCCTTAAACTTCCCCTGTCCCTTACCGGCAGCCTCCTGCTCCGGAAGTTTGGAATGGCTGGTTCTGAAAGAGAGAGACACACGTGAAAGGATGGGATGTGAAGATTTCGGGGAGAGGGTGAGGGCAATGGAGGGGAGAGGAAGGGAGAAGAAGGGAGAGGAGGAAGGTCACAGAATGGGCTGGGGTGGGGGCTCAGGGTGCCAATCCCGGATGTGCCAATGGGTTCCCTTGAGAATGACATGGGAATAAGTGGAGCATGAGCTATGCCAAGCATCTACCTCTTGGTGGATTCCTCAGATGATGAACCTACAAAAAATGCAGGAGGAATTTACCTACCGAGAAAATCCTTCACTCCCCCTCTCTCCCTTTGCGTTCTCTGAGCTCACTGTGCTGGCTGCATCTGTAGATGATGAAGACTGAGAGGAAGAGGAGAAGGATGGAGATGCAGCTGAAGATGGCGACAAAGATGGTTCTGGTGTCTGGAGGGGGAAGAGCAGGTCAGGGAATCAGCCTGGCTCCTGAAATCCACTGATAGGGGCGAGCCGAAAAGCTAAGAGAAGCCAGACAGATGGCCTGGCTTCCAAGCCTGGATCTCCCACCTCGGAGCTGGAACTTCCTATTGCTTTGGGGAATTTCCTTAATCTTCTCCAAGCTTCTGTTTCCCCATCTGTAAAGTGAGGATAGCAGCAGTAGCTACTTTATTGGATGGTGGGTCAGTACCTATAGAAAGGGCTGGAACAGTGCTTGGCGCATAGGAAATTCCAAAAATTCCCAGGGAATGTTTGGTGCATAGCAATGATATTGATCATTTATTGTGAGCCAGCTCTGTTCCAGGTGCTCCATATATATATATACGTGTGTGTGTGTGTATATATATATATAAATGTATATATATGTGTGTGTATATATAAATGTGTATATATATATATATATATATATATATATATACATATATATATATATATACACACTTTTTTTTTTTTGAGATGGAGTCGTGTTCTGTCACCCAGGCTGGAGTGTGATCCTGGCTCACTGCAACCTCCACCTCCCTGGTTCAAACAATTCTCCTGACTCAGCCTCCTGAGTAGTTGGGATTACAGGCGTGAGCCACCACATCTGTCTGTGTAATCACTGTCTGAAATCCACTGATGGGGTGAGTAGAAAAGCTAAGAGAAGCCAGACAGATGGCCTGGCTTCCAAGCCTGGATCTCCCACCTTGGAGCTGGAACTTCCTTGGAGCTGGACATTTCGACCAATAGACTTTGAGTAAAGCAGATGACCCACTGTCATAGGGGTGGGCCTCATCCAATCAGTTGAAGACTTTAAGACTTTAAGAGAAAAGACTGAGGTCCCCCAAGGTGGAAGGAATTCTGCCTCCAGACTCAAGCTGCAATATCAAGTCTCCCCTGGATCCCCTGCCTGCCTGCCCTGCAGATTTCAGACTTGCCAGCTCCCCACAATCACGTGAACCAATCCATTAAAATCAATCTCTCTCTCCATATATGTATATACATGTATATGTTCTCTTTTTTTTTTTTGAGACAAAGTCTCACTCTTATCGTCCAGGCTGGAGTGCAATAGTGCAATCTTGGCTCACTGCAAGCTCCGCCTCCCGGGTTCAAGCAATTCTCCTGCCTTAGCCTCCTGAGTAGCTGGGATTACAGGTGCCCACCATCACGCCCGGCTAATTTTTGTATTTTTAGTAGAGACGGGGTTTCGCCATGTTGGCCACGCTGGTCTTGAACTACTGACCTCAGGCAATCTGCCTGCCTCGGCCTCCCAAAGTGCTGGGATTACAGGCGTGAGCCACCACACCCAGCTTATATCTATATGTTCTATTGGTTCTGTTTTTCTGGAAAACCCTGGCTAACACAGACATGATCTCAGCTCTTAACTTCAAACATATTTCCTTTTTCTTTTTTTAAAGGAGAGAGAGAGATGTGAAAGGACGGGATGTGAAGATTATGGGGAGAGGGTGAGGGCAATGGAGGGGAGAGGAGGGGAGAGGAGGGAGGTCACAGATGGGAGCTCAGGATGCCAATCCCAGATGTGCCAATGGGTTCCCATTGTTGCCCAGGCTAGAGTGCAGTGGTGTGATCATACTCGAATTCCTGGGCTCAAGTGGTCCTCCTCACTCGGCCTCCAGGGTAGCTGGGAGTACAGACCACCACGCCCAGCCAACTTCAAACACACTTCAATGAGCTCGTTGATGCCAGGTAATGAACAGCAGTGACACGGGCATGGAAGGCGTTTAGAGTGGGGAGGGGTGGGGCTCTCTGAAGGAGACATGATTCCCCAAGACACAGAACAAGGGATCAGCTGGGAGAATTCAGGGAGGATTCCTAATAAGAACAGGGTTAGAGCAGGGTAGAAAAGAATGACCAGTGGCCGGGCACGGTGGCTCACGCCTGTAATCCTGGCACTTTGGGAGAGTGAAGTAGGTGGATCACTTGAGGTCTGGAGTTCGAGACCAGCCTGGCCAACATGGTGAAACCCTGTCTCTACTGAAAATATAAAAAATAAGCTGGGCATGGTGGCGCACGCCTGTAGTCCCAGCTACTCAGGAGGCTGAGAGAAGAGAATTGCTTGAACCTGGGAGGCGGAGGTTGCAGTGAGCCGAGATCGCATCACTGCATCATACACTCAACTGACCAAGACTCCAACTCAAAAAAGCATCCCTCTCAGGAGATAAAATTTCTACCAATTAAAAAACAAAAACAAAACAAAACAAAAAAAACTAGTTCTTGAGCAATATTGCCATGCAAGTCTACATCATAGCGTTTTAAAGTCTTAACAACAACCCTGCAAGGTAGTACAATTATTTCCCTCCCACTGGTGAAGGGCATGCATTCCCGTGTGACTCCTGGGATTACAGCAAGGGTTGTGTCCAAAGCTCACAGCGTTGAGGAAGAGAGAGCAACCTGTTACTAAAGCTAGGCGACAGAGTCCATGCAGTTCCCCCCCGTTTTTTGTTTTTCTTGGCACTTTAGATTCAAGAAACACAAGTCGTGAGACTTTAAGGAGTAAGTAGCAGAAACGTGATTAAGGAAAAAAGTTGAGCAACTATAGAAGTGAGGCCCCAGAAAGGGGCTTCACCAAGACCCCCGCTATCTTTGTTAGTGTGCTTTGAGTCTGAGAATTTTTCCTAGGTGTGCAATGATCTGTGGTCACATTACAGAGCCAAGTCTGAGATGCTTCACACGCCTGGTCCTCTGCACCAACAGAGGGTCTCCCATCCAGACGCTTCCCCTACTTGGTTCGCTATGTTTGCATTGGCATTTCTACATATCTATATATAGAGAATTACCTATCTAATTTATCTATCTCGCTAATCTATCTACCATCTGTCTAGGTATCTATTATCTATCTACCTATCTATCTTTATCTGTCTCTGTACCTACTTACCTATCATCTATCCAATCTATCCGTCCTATCTAATTATGATTTATCTATCTACCTACTTGCCTATCACCTATCCAATCTATCTATCCTATCATATGTAATTAACTATCTGTCTGTCTAATTTTTCTATCTTGTTAATCTATCACTTATCTAGGCATCTATGTATCTATCTTTATCTGTCTATCCACCTGCTTACCTGCTGTCTGTCTAATCTATCCATCCTATCATATCTAATTATCACTTATCTATCTACCGACTTACCTATCATCTAGTTACCAAATCTATCATCTATCTAATGTATCTATCAATCATAACCAGTTATCTATCATCTATCATCTATCATCTGTATGTATCTGTCTATTCACCTACTATTATCTATTTAATCTATTCTATCTAGTTATCTATCTATCTATCCACCTACTTATCTAATTTTTCTATCTTGCAACTCTATCACCTATCTAGGTATCTATGTATCTATCTGTGTATCTGTATATCTATCTATCTATCTAGCTAGCTTTATCTAGCTACCTAGTTACCTATCATCTATCTATCTAATCTATCATCTATCTAATGTATCTATCAATCATATCTAATTATCTGTCTATCTAATCATCTATCTTATCTATTATATCTAGTTATCTATCATCTAGCTAGCTAGCTAATCTATCTGTATCTATCTACCTACTTACCTATCGTCTATTTATCTATCTAATCTATCATATCTAGTTATCTATCTACTTACTTATCTAACCTGTTGTATCTAGTTATCTATCTACCTACTTACCTATCATCTGTCTATCTATCTAATCTGTCCATCGTATCTAGCTACTTATCTACCTATCATCTATGTATCTATCTAATCTATCATATCTAGTTATCTATTTATCTGCCTACTTGCCTATTATCTATCACATCTAATTATCTATCTATCCCCCTCCCTGAAATAAGGTTCTTTCTGAGCTGATCATCAGGGAGCAGCAAAAGGAGTGGGGAGTTTGAAACAAGACATATTTGAGTTCTAGTACTGGGTCTCCTACCTCCTGACTTTGTAAATGTTCCCTTCCCTTTCTGGAATACGTTATTTTTTGGTTAAATATAAGGAGGGGGCAGAGAGCTAATAATATCTAACTTGAAGAGTTAGGTAATGATGAAAAATCCTGGCTTTAAAGCGCTCAGTCTAGAAACTGACTCATTGTGTCGGATAATGGGATTGTAGGTATAATGATGATTTTTTTTCACCCAATATTCCACCTACACCCATCTCTCTCTGTAATAGATTCTGTCAATGTTCCTCAACCCATGTTCCCCAGATCCCTTTCCCATTTTTATGCATTCTAGATCGTGGCTTCTTTCCCTTTCCAAAGTGAACATTTGTATCTCTTCTTTGGGGGACTGCCTGGGAGAACTCCAAATGCCTTGGAATTTACATGCCCGGGACAAACTGCCACTGACGGCTGTGGGGACCCCAGCTCCCTAGCCTCTGGTCTTCGACCTTCTCTGTCTCCACTGCTTTCTGCAGGATGGAGCCAAAGATACCATCTGAGGGACACAGATATCCCACACTTGTTTAATCTATTTTCCTCCCAGCCCTTCTTCCCCACTCCCTAAAATGTAATTTTCAAGCCAGGCGTGGTGGCTCACACCTGTAATCCCAGCACTTTGGGAGGTCGAGGCAGGCAGAGCACCTGAGGTCAGGAGTTCGAGACCAGCCTGACCAACATGGAGAAACCCCGTCTCTACTAAAAATAGAATATTAGCTGGGTGTGGTGGTGCATGCCTGTAATCCCAGCTATTTGGGAGGCTGAGGCAGGAGAATCTCTTGAACCTGGTAGGCGGAGGTTGCAGTGAGCCAAGATCACGCCATTGCACTCCAGCCTGGGCAACAAGAGCGAAACTCTGTCTCAAAACTAAATAAATAATAAATAAAATAAAACGTCACTTTCACACTAATGCTGTCTAAGAGCCTGCTTCTGGTGGAGCTGAATCAGAGAACCCCTCAAAAGCAACAATTTTTTTTTTTTTGAGACAGTCTCACTCTGTCTCCCAGGCTGGAGTGCAGTGGTACAATCTCGGCTTTGGAACCTCCCCCTCTGGGGTTCAAGCAATTCTCCTGCCTCAGCCTCCCAAGGAGCTGGGATTACAAGCACCCGCCACCTCACCCCGCTAATTTTTTATATTTCTAGTAGAGATGAGGTTTCACCATGTTGGTTAGGCTGGTCTCAAACTCCAGAGCTCAAGTGTTCTGCCCACTTTGGCCTCCCAAAGTGCTGGGATTACATAAGCCACCATGCCTGGCCATAAGCAACAATTCTATCAGTGCATCTCCAAGGACTTATGAAAACAGGGCAGGAACAGCTGCTCCTGGACTCTCAGTTTCCCCAGATGGAAGCAGAGAAACAGCAGCCTTGCCTTGTCCTTTCTGTTCTCCCCTTTTCCAGCCTACGGTATCTTTCACACAGCAATTCACTAGAAATGAGAAGTACATTATTGCAAAATTCTCATCTTCATATGACCCCATAATCAGCTGAACTGGGTTCACCCTGAGATGTCCACAGATCCTGGCCAAATGTTGCATCAGTATTTGCAAATTGCCAGAATAAATCATAACTTGCTACGCTACTAAAGTCAGCGTGAGCAACAAGATACAGCCTGACACGGGGCATAAATGGAGGCACAGGCACCAGAAAGAAAGTCAAGTCTTGTGTGATAAAATTCATCTTCATTCTCTACATTGCGATTGAACATAGAGTCGTTTTCTAGTGTGTTTTAGGCATATAAATACAGGCTGGGGACATCATACCTGTGCTTACAGATATTTTACTTTTATTTTATTTATTTACTGAAACAGGGTCTCGCTCTGTCACCCAGGCTGGAGTGCTGTGGCGCAATCACAGTTCACTGAAGCCTCAACCTCCTGGGCGCAAACGATCTTTCTGCCTGAGCCTCCCAAGTAGCTGGGACTACAGGTGCACACCACCACGCCTGGCTAATTTTTGTATTTTTTGTAGAGATGGGATCTTACCAAGTTGTCCAGGCTGGTCTTGAACCCCTGGGCTCAAGTGATCCTCCTGCCTCATCTTCCCAAAGTCCTGGTATTACAGACGTGAGCCACTGCGCCCGGCAAAGATATTTTATTCTGTTTAGAATTGTGATGATACAAATTTGAACTCAAAAAGTACATTTTAAGAAATTATATAATACCCACTGGGATGGCTATAATTTAAAAAAAGAAAAGTAAGTGTTGACAAGGATGTGGAGATATTGGAACCCACATATATTACTGGAAGGAATATAACATGATACAGCCACAATGGAAAATGATTTGGCAGTTCCTCAAAAAGTTGAACATAATAGTCACCATATGTCCTAGCAAATCCACTTCTAGGTACATACTCAAGATAATTTACAGCGCGGAGACAAACAGATACTCCTACCACAGTGTTCCAGCACCATTACTCGCTTTAGCCAAGAGGTGCAGAC
Source organism: Homo sapiens (assembly GCF_000001405.40). Lineage (NCBI taxonomy): Eukaryota > Metazoa > Chordata > Mammalia > Primates > Hominidae > Homo > Homo sapiens. The sequence continues at coordinate 23,140 of NW_003571060.1, forward strand.
AACACAAATGTCCATCAAAAGAAGAACGGGGCCAGGCACAGTAGCTCAAGTCTGTAATCCCAGCACTTTGGGAAGCTGAGGCGTGTGGATCACCTGAGGTCAGGAGTTCGAGACCAGCCTAGCCAACATGGTGAAACCCCCTCTCTACTAAAAATACACAAATTAGCTAGGCATGGTGACGGGCGCCTGTAGGTCCAGCTACTCAGGAGGTTAAGGCAAAAGAATCACTTAAACCTGGGAGGCGGAGGTTGCAGTGAGCTGAGATTGTGCCACTGCACTCCAGCCTGGGCGACAGAGCAAGACTCCGTCTCAAAAAAACAAAAACAAAAACAAAAAAAAGAATGGATAAGCAAAATGTGGTCTATCCATACAATACGATGCTTTTCACCATGACAAGAAATGAAACATTGATGCATGCTACAGTACAGACAAACTTTGAAAACATTATGCTAAAGAGAAAGGAGCTAGTCACAAAGGATCACATAGTGTATGAATCCACTTACACAAAATGTCCAGAATAGACAAAATCATAGACACAGAGAAGCATATGAATGGTTGGAAGGGCCTGGTGGGAAAGTGGGAAATGAGGAGTGACTGCTTAATGGGTACAAGATTTTCTTTTAGGGTGATGAGAATGTTCTGGAATTATGTAGTGGTGATGGTTATACTACCTCATGAAGATACAAAATGCCAGTGAATTGGACACTTTACAAGGGTGAATTTTTGGACTGTGAATTATATATCAATAAAAAAAGAAAGAAAATAAATGATACAAGAGCTCAAAATAGAAAAGCTTCTCTTCCTCCTCCCCCTCACACCTCACTAGATCTCCCACCTCGTTTCTGATACTTCTGTGTTCCTCTCTCCCATTAGATTTCATATCTTTCTCAGAAAACGTTCCTGACGTGAATTGTGTTCGTAGTGCTAGGGTAGCAGACATTTCCCAAGCCTACTATCATGGAATAAAAACGTTTCAAATAGTTATCTTGCAAGAACACTTTGGAGGATACCTTTTTGAAAACCGATTATACCAGCACAGACTGCTAGCAACAACCTTCAGCAACTTTGGCTCTTTGGAGTAGGTTGCAGGAAGATTATGACTTGCTGAAAGGAAGGATGATTAAGCATCTAGATGCCAATTTATATTCTGCATTTGGCCCTTAAAGTCTGGATGAGTTCCTGTTTCAGCCGAATGCTGCCAAAAGCTCTAACTTTTTAATTTTTTTTTTTTTTTTTTTTTTTTGGAGACAGAGTCTCACTCTGTTGCCCAGGCTGGAGGGCAGTGGTGTAATCTCGGCTCACTGCAACCTCTGCCTCCCAGGTTCAAGCAATTCTCCTGCCTCAGTCACTTGAGTAGCTGGGAATACAGGCGCCCACCACAATGCCCAGCAAATTTTTGTATTTTTAGTAGAGACAGGGTTTCACCATGTTGCCCAGGCTGGTTTCGAACTCCTGACCTCAGGTGATCCGCCCACCTCGGCCTCCCAAAGTGCTGGGATTACAGATGTGAGCCACCTCGCCTGGCCCAAAAGCTCTAATTTTTATGAGAAACTCTGAGGACAGAATCTTAGTCAATTGTTAATGAATAAGCAACATTAGAAAAAAAATTCAATATTCACCTATTTTTGAGAATTTTAGAGTTATAACAAACTCTTGATTATATATATTCCTGAAGTACCTACTCTGCGTAGGTCCTGGTCCTACTCCCCAAATGGGTCACTGAAAAATTCACCCCCATTATTCCCCAAATCCCACCCTAGTTTTTCATCATGTCATATGGCAAACAACGCACTCTGTGCTGTTTTACACACCAGCTTCTTCAGAACCCGGAAGCACTTTAGAGGTTATCTCCCCTCATCCTCCACCCCCCAAAACACAGCAGTTTCCCCAATAACATTGAGAAAATGGGCTTTAAAGTTCTTCTAGGCCGGGTGCGGTGGCTCATGCCTGTAATCCCAACACTTTGAGAGGCCGAGGCGGGGGAATTGCTTGAGGTCAGGAGTTTGATACCAGCCTGGCCAACATGGTGAAACCCCATCTCTACTAAAAACAAAAAACAAAAAACAAAACTGAGCTGGATATGGTGGTGGGTGCCTGTAATCCCAGCTATTCGGGAGGCCGAGGCAGGAGAATTGCTTGAACCCAGAACCCAGGAAGTGGAGGTTGCAGTGAGCTGAGATTGTGCCACTTCACGCCACCCTGGGGGACAGAACAAGACTCTTTCTCAAAAAAATAAATAGGCCGTGTGCGGTGGCTCACGCCTGTAATCCCAGCACTTTGGGAGGCTGAGGCGGGCAGATCACAAGGTCAGGAGTTCGAGACCAGCCTGGCCAACATGGTGAAACCCCGTCTCTACTAAAAATACAAAAATTAGCTGGGTGTGGTGGTGCGTGCCTGTAGTCCCAGCTATTCGGGAGGCTGAGGCAGGAAAATTGCTTGAATCCGGGAGGCGAAGGTTGCAGTGAGCTGAGATTGCGCCACTGTACTCCAGCCTTGGTGACAAAGCGAGACTCTATCTCAAAAAACAAACAAACAAACAAACAAACAAATAAATAAAGTTCTCCTTGTGCACTTTAAGCAAAGGTGATCATGAAGCAGATCTCATTGGGAAAAACATCTCCTTTCTAATTATCTTACCTGTTTTCATTGAGGGAGCTTCAAGTTCATCGTGTTTATCTAGAAAATAGGAGGGAAGAAAAGGAATTACACTAATCATACAGGAACCTTGGGGACAGGAGTCCTCACGTCCTACTTATAGACATCCTGTTCTTCTTTGGGAAGCAGAAAAGAGAATGGCTTCTCCATTCCCTAGATGCTCCCTGGGTCCTCAGAGCATGGACAGAGCCTCAGATTACTCTTCTTAATAGTCCTGGAGTTTGATAGTATTTTTAATAACAAAAATATTTATGAATGACCCTGCTAACGCCCCCTCCAGTTTGATTCCTTGCCAGTCTTCTCTATCTTGACAAAGAACACCATTCACCCAAATTCTTTCTTTCTTTTATTTTTTTTGAGTCTTGCACTGTTACCCAAGCTGGAGTGCAGTGGCATGATCTCAGCTCACTGCAACCTCCGCCTCCCGGGTTCAAGAGATTCTCCTGCCTCAGCCTTCCAAGTAGCTGGGACTACAGGCGCCCGCCACCACACCCTGCTAATTTTTGTATTTTTAGTAGAGACAGGGTTTCACCATGTTGGCCAGGCTGGTCTCAAACTCCTGGCCTCAAGTGATCAACCTGCCTTGGCCACTCAGAATACTGGGATTCCAGGCATGAGCCACTGCACCTGGCCTATATTTCTATCTCCACAGTGGCACCATTTAGTCTAAGTTAAAATATCACCTACTTGGCCGGGCGCAGTGGCTCACGCCTGTAATCCCAGCACTTTGGGAGGCCGAGGCGGGCAGATCACAAGGTCAGGAGATCGAGACCATCCTGGCTAACATGGTGAAACCCCGTCTCTACTAAAAATACAAAAAGTTAGCCGAGCGTGGTGGCGGGCCCCTGTAGTCCCAGCTACTCGGGAGGCTGAGGCAGGAGAATGGCGTGAACCCGGGAGGCGGAGCTTGCAGTGAGCCGAGATCGCGCCACTGCACTCCAGCCTGAGGGACAGAGCCAGACTCCGTCTCAAAAAAAAAATAAAAATAAAAATAAAAATGAAATGAAATATCACCTACTCACCAGTCCCTGGCAACCACCAGTTGCTTCTGTGAGTTTGGCTTTTTTAGACTACACATATGAGTGAGATCCTGCAGAATTTGTCTTTCTGAGTCTGGCTTATTTTGTTTAGCATGATATATGCGGAGATGTTGATGAAAGGGTATAAGTTTCCAGTTCTAAGATGAAGAAGTTCAGGTGCTCAGCATGGTGGCAATGGATGTGCTAATTAATTTGACTGTGATAATCATTACACAATGTACAGGTGGATCAAATCATCAGATTGTATACCTTGAATATATACAATCTTCATTTGTCAATTTGATATTTTTAAATTTAAAAAGTCGTATTGCCTGAAACGCACCAACTCTTACTACATCTAGTCCCTTATTTTCCAAAAGCAGCCAGAGGCCGGGCATGATGGCCTGTGCCTGTAATCTCAGATGCTTGGGAGGCTGAGGTGGGAGGATTACCTGGGCCTGGGAGGTCAAGGCTGCAGTGAGCTGTGATTGCACCACTGCACTCCAGCCTGGGCAACCGAGTGGGACCCTGTCTCAAAAAAAAAAAAAAAAAAAAAAGCAGCCAGTGACCCTTCCAGCATATAAATAAAATCATGCCATCCTCCAGCTCAACTTCATCAGTGGGTTCCTGTTCTTTCAAAGCAGACTCTAGGACCAGTTCAAACACCCACAAGATCCTAGATGCTCTAGGCCCTGCCTTATGTCCTCCTTTCTGTGTCTCAATCATTCCAGGAACACTCACACTTCTGAGACTTTGCTTTTGCTGCTCTCTCTCCCTGGAGGGCTGTTCTCCAGATATCGGTGTGGTTGGGTCATTCTCATCCTTCATGCTTGTGGCAGATAGACCCTAAGGGGGCACTCAGGAGACTCAGGAGCCCTGCTTCCTGGTGTTCATGCCTTTGTCTAATCCCCTCACCTTGAGTGTGGAGATCTGTGACTTTCTTCTCACCAATAGCTATGGCAAAGGTGATGGGATGTTATGCTCTTGATTATGTTACATTACATAAAACTCTGTTTGCTAGGGCATTTGCTCTCTCTTTCTTCTCTCTCTCTCAATCTCTCTTCTTGCAAGTGCTGCAGAATCATTCTAGCATGAATCCTACAGCTATAAAGAACCAGATATTGCTATCAACCACAGGAGTGGAGAAATGGACCCTTCCCCAGTCAAGCCTCCAGATGAGCCAGATGAGAACACAGCCCTTGTTGACACCTTGATTGCATCCTTATGAGACCCAAAGCAGAGGACTCAGCTAAGCTGTGCCTGGACTCCTGACCCACATCAACTGTGAGATAATAAATAGGTGTTTCAGGCTGCTAAATTAGTGGTAATTTGTTATGCAGCTGTAGATCACTAATACAATGCCTCTCACAGTTATTCTCCATCTATAATGTGTTTTTTAATTACTCTGATAGCTTGCTCTTATTTCTTTCTTTCTTCCAAAGAAGAATGTGAGCTCCTGTTGGCCAGAGACCTGGTCTGTCTCAGTTCCTACAATATGCTCAGGATCTACCAAAGTATCTGAATTTGTAGGGTGAATGGGCAGCTATTTTTGTGCCAGGTATTTTGCATTAATTTTTTTTTGTAATGGAAGCATTTATATGCCCATTTTGTAATAAGTAAAAAGTAGTATAATAAAAAAGTAAAAAGTAGTATAATAAAGTGATTTGCAAAGCAGCAAACAGATTGTATATGGAAGGCTGACCTGGAAAATCAACCACTGGAAATTGATACTATAGCCTGTCTTGTGATGTAATGGTACAGCTGCGATAGAGGTGAAGAAATCAGGAAACAGTAGATGATATGCCAGAGAACATAATTGGGAAATGGCAAATAATCGCGAGGCTTTTAGGGCTAAAGTGTGGGTGCAGAAATTCTTAAGACTACAAGAACGAGTTATGGGGAATACAATTTGAAATCAATATCAAAGTGATGAGCACCTTGTTGGAGTATCATTGATCAAGAGCCTCAGAAAGAGGGTAAATCAGAGGTGAAACATTAAGTATTCAGTTACTCATCATGCCCCAAGCCCAGGCTAAGTCATTGGTGTGGACCCACGGCTACTTCTACACTACACTGATGACTGTAAAGTCTCTCCAGGGATTTCCCATGATATGGCAGGACTGACCTACTGGAAGCAACTGTGGTCAGTTGAGAGGTATTGTTTAGTGACTAATAAATGAATGGATGAATGGATGGATGGATGGATGGATGGATGGATAGATGGATAGGTGGGTGGGGGTGAGTGAATGGGTGAAAGGGTGGATGAGTGGATGAATGGGTGGAAGGATGGACAAATGAGTGGCTGGGTAAATAGATGGGTAGGTAGGTAGATAGATGGATGAAGGGGTGGGTGGACAGATGAATGGAAGGGTTGGTGGTTGGATGGATTAATGGATAGATGAATGGATGGATGGATGGATGGATGGATGGATGGATGAGTTGATGGATAGATGGATAAGTGAGTGGATGGATGGGTGAATGAGTGGGTAGGAGGGTGGATGGGTTGGTAGGTGGGTAGATGGGTGGGTGGGTTGATAGATGGGTGGGTAGATTGATAGATGGATGGGTGAGTAGATAAATGGGTAGATGAAAGTGATGCAAAATTATTCTTTATCCCTCTTCCTTGGGATCTCAAGTCATGTATGTTACAATCCTCCCACGTGCATCTTCTCACTGTGGTCCTCATCATTTTTTTTTCAGTTACCTGCACCGTGCCTCCCATACTTTTCCACACAATGGGATCTCTTAGCCCCACAATCCATTATTTGCCATTCCTACATCCCTCATAGAGCACTGGACACTCTTTCTGGCTTTCCTTCTCTGGCATAATGAAATATAAATTTTCATTTATGTCTGAATAGCAACTGTGAAGCTCATTGTTTTTGTGACACCGGGGAGGTCACCTAATCTCTATGAGCAAAAAGAAGTTAGTAACACAACCACCCTCATAGGAAGTGAAGACTGAATGAGTTAGTGGAGGCAAGTTACCTGTCGTGGAGACAGGAACATAGAAAATGCTGGATACATGTCAAATGCCAGTGTTATCACTCTATCCTCACCTGTCACCCAGATCTCCAGCTTGTTGCTGGGGAAGGAGGCCAAGTGTGATGAGTTGCTCAGGTAATACACACAGCTGTAGTTTCCACTGTCATTACTTGTCACGTTCCAGAGCATGAAATCAGTCTGGTTTTTTCTTACTTGCCTGACTTGTAATGGTTCTGGGATCCCCATTTTCAACAGAGCAATTACAATACATTCGGTTCCATTGTATGGAGTGAGACATCGAAGTGTCCTGAGACCTGGAGTCATCCCAGGGTCTACATTGACTGAGAGCAAAGGTTCTGGGAGTGATCCTGAAGAGGACAAGGCAATGGAGGTAAAGAGAAGGGCCAGGGCTTTTCCATTTTCTACTGCACTTGGGGACTATCTCATCCATCTCTCCGTATTAACCATGTCTTTCATCTTCTGCATTTGATGCTTTAACATCTTGGGGCCTTGCTGCCCTTGGTGGGACCTCCCCTCGCAGGGTTAGTTAATTTCTAGAGCCAGTAAACAACTTGTCCTCAAGGATGTCCCTCAAATGCAAGCCAATAGATCCAGAGCCCATACTCTCAACCACCTTAATTATGGGGCTCTCACACTCAAGGTCAATGTTGTCCTCTCCTAATCACCCCAGGTCCAAGAACTAGACAACCAGGGACAGCCTCTACACCCCAAAGCCAATTCTTTTTTTGTTTTTCTTTTCTTTCTTTCTTTTCTTTTCTTTTCTTTTTTTTTTTTTTTTTTTTTTTTTGAGACAGGTTCTCATTCTATCACCCAGGCTTGAGTGCAGTGGCACGATCTTGGCTCACCGCAGCCTCTGCCTCTGGGGTTCAAGCAATTCTCGTGCCTCAGCCTCCCGAGTAGCTGAAAGCACAGGTGCACACCACCACACCCAGGTAATTATTGTATTTTTGTAGAGATGGAGTTTCGCCATGTTACCCAGGCTGATGTCAAACTCCTGACCTCAGGTGATCCACCCTCCTAGGCCTCCCAAAGTGCTAGGATTACAGGCATGAACCACCACACCTGGCCAACTCTAATCTTGTTCTCCCCACAAAATACAATCAAAGCTCTGGTCCACAGTTCTTCCTCCTCCCTCTGCCCCTCATTGACCCTGGTGCTTCCCCACATACTCCCCCCAGTATAGCCTTCCTCCTCCTCTTGGGAACTGTAACAGACCATCTTTTCCATGGCAATCATCACTTGGTCTGTCAGTCTTACCATACCCCAATTTTCTATTAACTGACCATATTCTACACCACCCTCCCACATCCACATCATTGGGACCCTCTCAGAATCTCTGATGAGAATCTTGCTCCACATTCGGTTCCCATTTCCACATTGAAGGTGTTGCATCTATCCTTCTTCTTCTTTTTTTTTTTTAGACGGAGTCTTGCTCTTTCATCCAGGCTGCAGTGCAGTGGCACAATCTCAGCTCATTACAACCTCTGCCTTCTGGGCTCAAGAGATTCTCTTCCTGCCTCAGCCTCCCTAGTAGCTGGGATTACAGGCGCCTGCCACCACGCCCAGCTAATTTTTGTATTTTAAGTAGAGGTGAGGTTTCACCATGTTGGCCAGGCTGGTCTCGAACTCCCGACCTCAAGTGATCTGCCCACCTCTGCCTCCCAAAGTGCTGGGATTACAGGCATGAGCCACCGCGCCGTGCCTGGCCTGCATCTATCTTTTTGTCTCCTAGATTCCTTCTTCCCCAGCCATGTCCCACGACAGGAAAAGAAATACGTGCATCAGGCAGGCTTTGGTGACTCACGCCTGTAATCCCAGCACTTTGGGAGGCCAAGGCAGGAGGATCACCTGAGCTCAGGAGTTCAAGACCAGCCTGGGCAACATAGATCCTGTCTCAACAAGTAATTTAAAAATTAGCCAGGCATGGTGGTGCTTGCCTGTACTCCCAGCTACTTGGGAGGCTGATGTGGGAAAATCGCTTGAGCCTGGGAGGTCGAGGCTGCAGTGAATTGTGTTCATGCCACTGCACTCCTGCCTGGGTGACAGAGCGAGATTCTGTCAAAAAAAAAAAAAGCAGCCGAGCGCAGTGGCTCACTCCTGTAATCTCAGCACTTTGGGAGGCTGAGGTGGGCAGATCACTTGAGGTCAGCAGTTCGAGATCAGCCTGGCCAACATGGTAAAACCCTGTCTCTACTAAAATACAAAAATTAGCCAGGTGTGGTGGCGCACCCCTGTAGTTCCAGCTACTCGGGAGGCTGAGGCAGGTGAATTGCATGAACCCAGGAGGCGGGGGTTGCAGTGAGCTGAGATCATGCCACTGTACTCCAGCCTGGGCAACAGAGCAAGACTCCCTCTCAAAAAAAAAAAAAAGGCTGGGTGTGGAGGTTCACGTTTATAATCCCAGCCCTTTGGGAGGCCGAGGCAGATGGATCACTTGAGGTCAGGAGTTTGAGATCAACCTCACCAATATGGTACAACCTCATCTTTATTAAAAATACAAAAATTAGGCCGGGCGCGGTGGCTCATGCCTGTAATCCCAGCACTTTGGGAGGCGGAGGCAGGTGGATCACAAGGTCAGGAGATGGAGACCATCCTGGCTAACATGGCGAAACCCCATCTCTACTAAAAACACAAACAATTAGCTGGGCGTGGTGGCGGGCGCCTGTAGTCCCAGCTACTCGGGAGGCTGAGGAGGGAGAATTGCTTGAACCCAGGAGGCAGAAGTTGCAGTGAGCCGAGATCGTGCCACTGCACTCCAGCCTGGGAGACACAGCAAGACTCTGTCTTAAAAAAAAAAAAGCAAAGCCAAACCAAAGAAATGTGTGCATCAAAGAGTACATCTGCCCTTCTCACCTGTGACCACCAGCTGCAAGTGTTCACTGCTTTCTGACCACTCATGGGAGGCTGTTGTCTTGTAGGCACAAAAGTACCTCCCAGCATCCTTAGGCTTCAGGTCCGTGAAGGGGAATTCAGCTTCGTTTTCTGCCGAGCTCTGTTCCTGCTTGTACCCAGAGTCGTTCACCTTGCGCAGCACAAATGTCACATTCTGGGAATGAGCCTGACACTTCAGGGTCACATTGCTCTCGGCTTCAACCACCGAGCTGGGCCAGGCGTGGAGGGAGGGCTTGGGCGGTTTCTCTGGAAACAATTCAGAGTTAATTTGAGTCTAGAATTCAGACGATTAAAGGAAAAGGTCATGAAGCGTGGGATGCAGGAATAAAAGTTTAAGTAGGAGAAAACTCACCATTCTTTTTCTCATCTTCGTAGCCCAGACACAGCCCTGGAAGAGAAATCTCAATGAGAGAAAAATTATGTGCTTGTCCTTGAGTACAAATCCAGCAGAGAACGTATGACTAGCTCTTTATAGGTCTGAGATATATATATATATATAATGTATATATGTATTATATATAATAAATGTATTAAGTATATGTACACATATTACATATAATACATATATAAATATAATATATATATTAAATATATGTATTACATATATGTATATATTTTTGGCAGATATCTCCCCAGACTTACCTCTTACTTTTGTTCCATTGTTTGTCATTCAGAAGCTACGTGTATGGAGAAAATTCCAGCAACTTCTTCTTTCTTTTTTTTTTTTTTTTTTTGAAATGTAGTCTTGCTCTGTTGCACAGGCTGGAGTGCAATGACATGATCTCAGTTCACTGCAACCTCCGCCTCCCAGGTTCAAGCAATTTTCCTGCCTCAGCCTCCCGAGTAGCTGGGACTACAGGCACCCGCCACCACACCTGGCTAATTTTTGCATTTTTAGTAGAGACAGGGTCTCACCATGTTGGCCAGGCTGGTCTTGAACTCCTGACCTCAGGTGATCCACACGCCTCGGCCTCCCAAAGTGCTGGGATTACAGGCGTGAGCCACTGCCCCCGGCCCAGCAACCTTTTCTGATGTATTGAATTGCTTTCATGAGTAATCCTTTCACCATCTAGAAATTGTTCAACATTCACCTATGCTTTTTTCTGGTATTTTCTGTGATTGCAGTGTTTTGTTTTGTTTTGAGACAGAGTCTCGCTGTGTCACCCAGGCTGGAGTGCAGTGGTGCAGTCTCAGCTCACTGCAACCTCCTCCACCCCCTGGGTTCAAGTGATACTCGTACCTCAGGCTCCAGAGTAGCTGGGACTACAGGTGTGTGCCATCGTGCCCAGCTAATTTTTGTTGTTGTTGTTGTAGAGATGGGGTTTCACCATGTTGCCCAGGCTGGTCTCAAACTCCTGAGCTCAAGTGATCCACCCGCCTCAGCCTCCCAAAGCGCTGGGATTACAGGCATGAGCCACCGTGCCCGGCCTGATTGCAGTTTTACCCTTGCCACTTAAATAATGCAAAGGTTATTTTATCGTGGAGTGAGAGTGGTGGGTTTTTTTTTTTTTTTTATTTTTCGAGATGGAGTCTCGCTCTGTCACCCAGGCTGGAGTGCAGTGGCGCGATCTCGGCTCACCGCAAGCTCTGCCTCCCGGGTTCACGCCATTCTCCTGCCTCGGCCTCCCGAGTAGCTGGGACTACAGGCACCCGCCACCAAGCCCAGCTAATTAATTTTTTTGTATTTTTAGTAGAGACGGGGTTTCACTGTGTTAGCCAGGATGGTCTTGATCTCCTGACCTCGTGATCCACCCGCCTCGGACTCCCAAAGTGCTGGGATTACAGGCATCAGCCACCGCGCCCGGCCGAGAGGAGGGTTTTCTTGCTCAATTCCAATAGAGAGAATCTGCTCCCCCTTCCCCGTGTCTTCTGGTCCCAAATACTCTCCTCACTTTAGCTTTGGTTTCCACTTACATTATCCCCTCCCTCTTCTGTGTTCTGTTCTCTACATTCCCCGCTGGGAAGGTAGCGTCTTAAACTTGGGTGGAAAATGGGATGTCAGTCATGGGGCTTGTTTCAGGGTGAAGTTACGTAGAATTTAGGTAGAAATTCTCTAGAGCCACGACAGTGTCTCAGGACATTGGTTCCTTGTTGACACAGGTGCCGATACAGAACGTGACCCCCCACCAAGCTTCACCACAGAGGAATGAGGTGGAGGCCTCACGATGGACCGAAGCTGCGTTGGCAGCGAGATTAGCTGGGATTGGCAGGTAGGAAACAGCCTCTGGGTGGGCAGGGCATCCCAGGACTCAGGCTCTGTTTTGAGACCCTCCCCAAATCCCGCTTTTAGATTCATGTCATCTCATCTCTGCTATCCACCCATCGTCTGTTCAAACAGTGATTCCTATATTCTTTTTTCTTTTTGAGACAGGGTCTCACTCTGTGGCCCAGGCTGGAGTGCCAGGGTGCAGTCACAGCTCACTGCAGCCTCAACCTCCTGGGCTCAAGTGATCCATCCATCTCAGCCTCCCAAATAACTGGGACTACAGGCATGCACCACCACGCTGGCTGATTTTAAAATTTTTTTGTAGAGATGAGGACTCACGATGTTGCCCAGGCTGGTCTCGAACACCTGAGTTCAAGTGATTCTCCCACCTTGGCCTCCCAACATGCTGGGATTACAGGTGTGAGCTACCTGCACCCAGCCCAATTCCCATATTCTTTTTCTTTTCTTTTTTTTTTTTTTTTTTTGACATGGAGTCTCCCTCTGTCACCCAGGCTGGAGGGCAGCGGTGCTATCTTAGCTCACTGCAACCTCTGCCTCCCAGGTTCAAGCGATTTTCCTGCCTCAGCCTCCCGAGTAGCTGGGATTACAGGTCCTTGCCACCATGCCCAGCTAATTTTTGTATTTTTAGTAGAGACGGGGTTTCACCATGTTGGCCAGTCTGGTCTCAAACTCCTGACCTCAAGAGATCTGCCCGCCTGGGCCTCCCAAAGTCCTGAGATTACAGGCGTGAGCCACCACACCTGGCTGATTTGTGTTTCTTGAAAAGAGAAGTTCAAGTTGTAACTCCCAGGACCTGCGAATGTGACCTTATTTGAAAATAGCATTGTCTGATCTTTGCAGATGTAATTAATTAAACTAAGATGAGGTCATACTAGAGTAGGCTGGGTATCTAATCCAATATAACTTACAAGAAGAGAAAAAGAGAGACAGAGACACACAGAAGGAAGACGGCCATGCGAAGACAGAGGCAGAGAGGCCAGGCTGCAATCATAGTGCTTTGGGATGCCAAGATAGGAGAATTGCTTGAGCCCAGGAGTTGGAGACTAGCCTGGGCAATATAGCAAGATCCCATCTCTAAAACAGAAATTATTTTAATTAGTCCAACATGGTGGTGTGCACCTGTAGTCCTAGCTGCTCAGAAGGCTGCGGGGAGGACTGCTTGAGCTCAGGAGGTTGAGGCTGCAGTGAGCTATGGTGGTACCACTGCACTCCGGCCTGGGCAACTGAGTGAGACCCTGTCTAAAGAAAAGAAAAAAAAAAACAGAGCCAACGATTGGAGTGATGCATCTACAAGTTAAAGAATGCCGGGAGCGCTGGCTCACGCCTGTAATCTCAACAGTTTGGGAGGCTGAGGCGGGCAGATCACCTGAGGTCAGGAGTTCGAGGCCAGCCTGGCCAACGTGGTGAAACCCTGTCTCTACTAAAAATACAAAAATTAGCCAGGCATGGTGGTCCATGCTTGTAATCCCAGCTACTTGGGAGGCTAAGGCAGGAGAATTGATTGAACCCAGGAGGTGGAGGTTGCAGTGAGAAAGATCATGCCACTGCACTCTAGCCTGGGTGACAGAGCAAGACTCCGCCTCAAGAAAAAAAAAAAATGCCAAGAATTGTCAGCCATCACTAGAAGAGGGGCATAAAACAGACGCTCCTTCATAGTTCTCAGAAGGAATCAACATTGCAAACACCTTGGTTTCAGACTTCTCATCTCCCCAACTTAAAGCAATTCTAATTCCTTTAAGCCACCAGGCTTGTAGTACTTTGGTATGGCAGCCATTGGGGGATGAGGTCAGTCTCCTGGTTGCCCAGCTTACTGTGCTCAGCAGCTGGAGGCTTGGGTATGAACCCGATAGTCATCTCTAAGGCACAAATAGCCGGGTGCAGTGGCTCACACCTGTAATCCCAGCACTTTAGGAGGTTGAAGTGGGTAGATCACCTGAGTTCAGGAGTTTGAGACCAGCCTGGCCAACATGGTGAAACCCCATCTCTACTAAAAACACAAAAAATTAGCCAGGCGTGGTGGCGTGTGCCTATAATCCCAGCTTCTCGGGAGGCGGAGGCAGGAGAATCGCTTGAACCCAGGAGGTGGAGGTTGCAGTGAGCTGAGATCACACCACTGCACTCCAGCCTGGGAGACAAAGCAAGACTCTGTCAAAAAAAAAAAAAAATGCTCATCTAAGGTGCAAATGTGTGTAGGAGACGAGCATTACCCCACAAGGAAGGGCTGCACCCAGAAAAGGAGGAAGGAACTGAAGCAGACGAAGCACGTCGATGTCCACCGCACCCCCCGTGCACCAGGGAGGAACTGGGGCCTTAGGGAGGTGGAGCTCTGCTGGGTCAAGCCTAGAGTTTCTATGTAGTAAAGCCGAGATTATAACCCAGGTCATCCGTTTCACAGTGTGAGCTCTGTCTGAATACATCAGGTTCAATTGGAGGATGGTTAAAATCAGCCTAAGAATCGAGCTGGTCAGAAAATTGTCTTCTTGGGGCCAGGTGTGGTGGCTCACGCCTGTAATCCCAGCACTTTGGGAGGCTGAGGCGGGCGGATCACCTGAGGTCAGGGGCTCGAGACCAGCCTGACCAACATGGTGAAACCCCGTCTCTACTTAAAATACAAAAGTCAGCCGGGTGTGGTGGCCTGCACCTGTAGTCCCACCTACTCGGGAGGCTGAGGCAGGAGAATCGCTTGAACCTGGGAGACGGAGGTTGCAGTGAGCCCAGATCACGCCATTGCACTCCAGCCTGGGCTACAGAGTGAGACTCTGTCTCATAAATAAATGCATACATACATAAATAAATAAATAAGAGAGAGAGAGAAGAAAATTGTCTTTTTGCCCACAGCCTTGCACCCTGTAGATCCCTAAGCCCAGCCCTCCTCTATTCCGACGGAGGATGATGGCAGTACTGCGGTATTTAGCGGCTGCAGACTCGGAGACCCCACAGCAGCTCTGCCTTTCCCAGCGGAGTCTGTCCCCGTGTCTCTGCAGCGCGGCCTCCTCCTCGCTTGCATGTGGGCGGCAGAACTCACAGAACCCACAGCCCAGACCCACCCACCGCAGGTGTGCAACACCTGGAAGTCATTACTTCCACACACCGCATTTCCACCTGGACTGCCACTCCCACATGAGTTTTTCTCACCAGCCCAAGCCCATTCGTCCCAGTCCTGGAGACTCACCGAGGCAAAGCAGGGAGAGGAATTCTGCGGTCATAGCGTCCCTTCTGCCAGAACCAAGGCCCCGCCTTGGGTTTTACCCTTCAAAGGCGGAGCGGGACTGGGCCGGCCGCAGCTCTCCGGCTGCCCGGTTCGTCCCCAGGATGTGCAGATAGAGGAGGTTTTGCTCTGACACTCTGGTTCTCTGCCCCACTCTTGCAGTTTCCTTCTCACAACCGACTCAGGAAACAAGAAGCCGTCGATGATAACTTCTTCCCCATGAATCCGGTGTGTGTGGCCCCACCCGCCCGAGCTCTGTCCTACCTTATCTGAAGTTCTGCCAAGAGTTTTCTGTAAATGTAATTTTTTATTTTAAAACACTAATACCGGCCGGACGCGGTGGCTCACGCCTGTAATCCCAGCACCTTGAGAGGCTGAGGCGGGCGGATCACCTGAGGTCGGGAGTTCAAGACCAGCCTGACCAAAATGGAGAAACCCCCGTCTCTACTAAAAATACAAAATTAGCCAGGCATGGTGGCGCATGCCTGTAATCCCAGCTACTCCGGAGGCTGAGACAGGAGAATGGCTTGAACCCAGGAGGCGGAGGTTGCTGTGAGCCAAGATTGTGCCACTGCACTCCAGCCTGGACAACAACGGTGAAACTGTCTCAAACAAGCAAACAAACAAACATTAATACCTATAGCTTTATAGCTTCCGTGTACCCACTAGCCAGCTCCCCACAATGTTAACCTTTTTTTGGGGGGCGGGGGGGACAGAGTCTTGCTCTGTCACCCAGGCTGGAGTGCAGTGGCGCGATCTCGGCTCACTGCAACCTCTGCCTCATGGGTTTAAGGATTCTCCTGCCTCAGACTCCCAAGTAGCTGGGATTACAAGCATGCACCACCACACCCAGCTAATTTTTTGTAGAGATGGGATTTCACCATGTGGGCCAGGCTGGTCTTGAACTCCTGGTCTCTAGTGACCCGCCCACCTCAGCCTCCCAAAGTGCTGGGATTACAGGCATAAGCCACTGTGCCCGGCCAATGGTAATCTCTTATAATTACAGTACTTTTTTTTTTTTTTTTTTTTTTTGAGACAGAATCTCTGTCAGCCAGGCTGGAGTGCAGTGGCACAATCTTGGCTCACTGCAACCTCTGCCTCCCGGGTTCAAGCGATTCTCCTGCCTCAGCCTCCCGAGTTGCCGGGATGACAGGTGTCCGCCACCACTCTTGGCTAATTTTTTTTGTTCTTTTTAGTAGAAACGAGGTTTTGCCATGTTGCCCAGGCTGGTCTCGAACTTCTGACCTCAGGCGATCCGCCTGCCTCGGCCTCCCAAACTGCTGGGATTACAGGCGTGAGCCACCACGCCCGGCGTATGGCACATTTTCAAAACCAGAGACTTTGCACTGGCATCACACGTTTAACCAGGTTCCAGAGGTCACTCAGATCTCACCAGTTTGTGCATAATTCGTTTCTCTTTTTCTCTTCCTCTTCCTTCTATTTCTATTTCCTTTTCTCCTTTTCCTTCTTTTCTCCTGCTCTTCCTCCTCTTCCACCTTCTTTTCCTCCTCCCTTTTCTTTGCCTATGGGTATAGTTCTGTAACATTTTATTGCCTGTATGTATGGCTTTATAGAACCACCGCCACAATCAAGACACAGAACTGTCCCACCACCACGTAGGAACTCCCTCATGCTGCCCCTTTATAATCGCTCTCCCACCCTAGCACCTGCTAATCTGTTCTACGTCTCTATCACTTTGTCACTTTGAGACTCTTGTATAAATGGAATCGTCCATCGCCTCACCTTCTGAGGGTGACCTTTTTCACTCAGCACAATGCCTGTGAGATTCATTCAAATGGTTGTGTGTTATGATGATGGATACATTAGCCGGGCGTGGTGGCACACGCCCATAGTCCCAGCTACTCAGGAGGCTGAGGCAGGAGAATCGCTTGAACCCGGGAGGCGGAGGTTGCAGTGAGCTGAGATCACGCCACTGCACTCCAGCCTGGGTCACAGAGCAAGACTCCATCAAAAAAAAAGAATTATCTAATGGATACAATGTGTGTCACTGGGTTAGTGGATACCTGAAAGCCCTAACTTCATCATTTTGGAATCTATCCATGCAATAAAGTTACACTTGTACCCCATAAACGTATACAAATAAAAAATAATCGTCTGGGCATGATGACTTACCGCTGTAATCCCAGCACTTTGGGAGGCTGAGGCGGGATTACAGGTGTGAGCCACCATGCCCGGCCTATACTTTCTATCTTAATAACTACAAAAATAATAACTTGCTGGATGGGTCCCTGTGCCCACCCCGTCCTGTCCTAAGTGAGGAGGATGGGAAGAAAGCCATCGTCCTGTCCTGGTGCGGCTCTCAAACAGCTGGAAATGCTGGCTGCACAGGAAACTCTAAGGATCGGCAGCTCTAGCGCATGCTACCCTTGGCAGCTGTGTGGTCTGTGGATAGAGAAGGACCAACCTGTGGTTAGTGGAGGAAGAGGAGGAATATTGCTTTGATAAGCACATCCTCAGAGTTATAACAGAGGAGACAATAGTTATAAAATAAGAATGATATTTACGAAAAATAATAAGACTATTAACAAGAAACAGCAACAAATCTTGAAAACAAAATGTAACAACAAAACATAAATGTTGACTTTTTTTTTTTTTTTTTTTTTGAGACGGAGTCTCGCTCTGTCGCCCAGGCTGCAGTGCAGTGGTGAGATCTCGGCTCACTGCAACCTCTGCCTCCCGGGTTCCAGCAATTCTCCTGCCTCAGCCTCCTGAGTAGCTGGGATTACAGGCATGCACCACCACGCCCAGCTAATTTTTGTATTTTTAGTAGAGATGGGGTTTCACCATATTGGCCAGGATGGTCTCGATCTCTTGACCTTGTGATCCGCCCACCTCGGCCTCCCAGAGTGCTGGGATTATAGGCATGAGCCACAGCACCTGGCAACTGTTGACATTTTACATCTGCACCAGTAAGACTGGCTACCAATTACAAGCAAATGGATGCCATGGATAGAATGGAATTCCTGCCAAACTGGGTAAAATGTTGGAAACATATAAAATAAAATGTAAAAGAAATGTATTATAAATACAGGCTGGGCGTGGTGGCTCATGCCTGTAATCCCAGCACTTTGGGAAGCCAAGGTGGGCAGATCACTTGAGGTCAGGAGTTCGAGACCAGCCTCGCCAACATGGTGAAACCCCGTCTCTACTAACACACAAAAATTAGCCAGGCATGGTGGTGGGCGCCTGTAATCCCAGCTACTTGAGAGGCTGAGGCAGGAGAGTCACTTGAACCTGAGAGGGAGGTTGCAGTGAGCTGAAATTACGCCACTGCACTCCAGCCTGGGTGACAGAGTGAGACTCCCTCTCCAAAAAAAAAGAAAGAAAGAATGTATTATAAATACATATGACCAAGCACAGTGGCTAACGCCTGTAGTCCTGGCACTTTGGGAGGCCAAGATGAGAGGATCACTTGAGTCCAAGAGTTCGAGACCAAGTTGGGCCATATGGTGGAACCCGGCTTCTACAAAAAATACAAAATTTAGTCCGGCATGATGGCACACACCTGTGGTCCCAGCTACTCAGAAGGCTGAGATGGGAGGATTACTTTAGCCTGGGAGGTCGAGGCTGCAGTGAGCCGTGATCTAGCCACTACACTCCAGCCTGGGCGACAGAGTGAGACCCTGTCTCAAAATAAATAAATATAATAAATAAATAAATATGTATATCCCAATATTGGACTAAATGCTGGTCCAGAAGCACAAAATAGAAAGAACGGAGAGGAAGTATTAATAAATATTACACAGGAAGCAATGTTTTTCCCTTCGTGTGGAGGAAGAGTTCCCCGCAGGTGAGAGTCACCTACTACTCAATCTGACTCTGAAGTTTTAAGTATTGATTCAAGTTATCAAAAATGTATTAAGGGCTGGGCACGGTGACTCAAGCCTGCAATCCCAGCACTTTGGGAGGCCGAGGTGGGCTGATCACTTGAGCTCAGGTGTTCAAGACCAGCCTGGCCAACATGGGTGAAACCCCATCTCTACTAAAAGTACAAAAATTAGCTGGGCATGGTGGCAGGCGCCTGTAATCCCAGCGACTTGGGAGGCTAAGGCAGGAGAATCGCTTAAACCCAGGAGGTGGAGGTTGCAGTGAGCCGAGATCTTGCCATTGCACTGCAGCCTGGGTGACAGAGCGAGACTCCGTCTCAAAGAAAAAAAAAAAAAGTATTACGTGGCTCATTGTGCCCAATTCTGTCCTCTGTCCCCAGTGAAAAGTACAGGAAGAAGAAAGCCACCATCCTGCCCTACAGCAGATCCCAACAGAGCTGAGAGTGCAGGTTCCACAGAAAGCGGTTAAGGCTCAGCTGGTCCAACCCATCATTCCCTGGGCAGCTGTGGGATCTATGGCTAGAGAAGAACAGAGCTGAGCTTAGAGGGGAAGGAAGAGGAGGAAGATTGTTTTCTCCCGGCATCCAAACACAGCTTTTCAACCAGGGGGAGCACCACCCTCACTTCCCATCGCCCCATCCAGGGATATTTGAAAGGTATGAGAGTAGTGGCTTTTTTGTTGTTGTTGTTTCACAATAATTAGGTCTCCAACAGGTGTTCAATGGGAAAGGAAGTATTAGCAATGTCGAGTTACGTGTTCCTATAATGGACAAGACAGTCTCACATGGTGAAGGACTATTGCACTTTAAACACCATTTGTGGCCATGCCCGGTGGTGCACACCTGTAATCCCAGCACTTTGGGAGGCTGAGGCAGGTGGATCACTTGAGGCCAGGAGTTCGAGACCAGCCTGACCAATGTGGCGAAACCCCGTCTCTCCTAAAAATACAAAAAAATTAGCCAGATGGTGGCAGGTGCCTGTAGTTGCAGCCACTTGGGAGGCTGAGGCAGGAGAATCACTTGAACCTGGCAGGCGGAGGTTGCAATGAGCCGAGATCGCACCACTGCACTCTGGCCTGGGCGACAAAGCGAGACTCTGTCTCAAAACAAACAAACAAACAAAAAAACAAAAAATACCATTTGTGCCCATGTGGAGAAACGTGTGAAGTCCCCATGGTAGAGTCTGATGTTTAAAGAACCCCATATGGATTGAATGCACAGCAGGGCGGCTACAGTTCACAAGGCTGCACTGGGTAATTACAATTTGCTAAGAAGGTGGATCTTAAACAGAAAGGTCCATAAGCTAGATTGAGATAACCATTGTCACAATGAGTGAAATTTCTTCCTCGGCACACAATTAATTACTTAGTTAGTAGGAAAGTTCCCAGAAGGTGGATCTTAAACAGAAAAGTCCATTAGCTACATTGTGATAATCATGTCACAATTAGTGAAATTTCTTCTTTGGTACACAATTAATTATTTAGTAGGGAGGTTCCCAGAAGGTGGATCTTAAACAGAAAGGTTCGTTAGCTACATTGTGATACTCATGTCACAATCAGTGAAATTTCTTCCTTGGTACACAATAAATTACTTAGTAGGAGGGTTCCCCACCCGTAGGCTTATGGGGGTATAATTGATAAATCAAAATGGAATATATCAAAACATCACGTTGTACACAAATATAACTCCATTTTTATTTGTCGATTAGATCTCAATAAATCTGGAGCAGAAGAGAATTCCATATCTCTACAGCAGCCCATGAAAGAGAGAGGGGATCCGTGTTTTAACTTGGATCTGTTACTGGAAAGGGGTCCCAGTCCAGACCCCAAGAGAGGGTTCTCGGATCTCACACAAGTAAGAACTCAGGGTGAGTACACAGAGTAAAGTGAAGGCAAGTTTATTAAGAAAGTCAAGGAATATGGCTGCTCCATAGGCAGAGCAGTCCAGAGGGCTGTCAGTCGGCTATTTTTGTGGTTATTTCTTGATCGTATGCTAAACAAGGGGTGGACTGTTCATGAGTTTTCCAGGAAAGGGGAGGGGATTTCCCTGGAACTGAGAGTCCCTCCCTCGTTTAGCTTCTGGAAGTTGCCATGGCATCTGTAAGCTGTCTTGGTGGCGGTGGGAGTGTCTTTTAGCATGCAAATGCATTATAATTAGCAAATAATGTGCAGTGAGGACGACCAGAAGTCACTTTTGTTGCCATCTTGGATTTGGCAGGTTTTGGCTGGCTTCTTTGTTGCATCTTTGTGTCTTTGGGTCTTTGTGACCTGTATGTTGTGACCTGTCTCATCCTGTGACTTAGAAAGCCTCAACCCCCTGGGAATGCAGTCCAGCAGGTTGCAGCCTCAGTTTACCCAGCCCCGGTTCAAGATGGAGTCACTCTGGTTTGAAGGCCTCTGATTCACCTGGAGACACATTCCGGCTGTACCAGGCCTCCACCAGGAAAGCTCCCATGATAACCACAATTACGGCAGCCAGACCCAGTCGTACGAAGTTACCCAGGGAGTAGTTGCTCGATGTGGTACCTGGGGGAACTGAAAGAGAGAAGGGGCTCAGCACTGACCCTCAGAGGGTATCCCTCCTTCTCAAATGGCCCCACCAAATCTGACTATCATCACCCACTTAATGTTTTCGGTTTTTTGGTTTTTTTTTTTGAGACGGAGTTTTACTCTTGTTGACCAGGCTGGAGTGCAGTGGTGTAATCTCAGCTCACCACAACCTCTGCCTCCCAGGTTCAAGCCTCCCTGCCTCAGCCTCCCAAGTAGCTGGGATTACAGGCATGTGCCACCATGCCCGGCTAATTTTATATTTTTAGTAGAGACGGGGTTTCGCCATGTTGGCCAGGCTGGTCTTGAACTCCCGACCTCAGGTGACCCGCCCACCTCAGCCTCCCAAAGTGCTGGGATTACAGGTGTGAGCCACCGCGCCCGGCCACCCACTTAATGTTTTCTAGCCAGTAGTCCACTGTACTTTAAAGTTTTAATTGAACTTTTTTTTTTTCTTGAGATCAAGTTTTGCTCTTGTTGCCCAGACTGGAGTGTAATGGCACAATCTCAGCTCACTACAACCTCTGCCTCCCGGGTTCAAGTGATTCTCCTGTCTCAGCCTCCCAAGCAGCTGAGATTATGAGCATGTGCCACCACACCCGGCTAATTTTGTATTTTTAGTAGAGACGGGGTTTCTCCATGTTGGTCAGGCTGGTCTCGAACTCCTGACCTCAGGTGATCCACCCGCCTTGGCCTCCCAAAGTGTTGGGATTATAGGCATAAACCACCATGCCTGGCCATAATTGAGCTCTTTAAAGTTTTAATCCCTGAAAACAAAAGATGGAATCTTTGTTGTTGTTTTTGAGACGACGTCTCACTCTGTTGCTCAGGCTGGAGTGCAGCGACGCAGTCTCGGTTCACTGCAACCTCCACCTCCTGGGTTCAAGCGATTCTCCTGCCTCAGCCTCCCGAATAGCTAGGATTACAGGCACCTACCACCACACCCGGCTAATTTTTGTATTTTTAATAGAGATGGGTTTTCGCCATGTTGGCCAAACTGGTTTCGAACTCCTGGCCTCAAGTGATTCGCCTGCCTCGGCCTCCCAAGGTGCTGGGATTACAGGCCTGAGCCACCGCGCCCGGCCAAGATATGCAATCCTAATGAGTTGTAATGGGAGTTCCTTTATCTTCCTTCCTTGATATTCACTCCACCTTAGCTCTCTTCCTTCGTTTATTTGCTCTTTATCCCATTTCCACCTTCCCACATTGCCTTTTCTCCTCCCGCATCCTTATGTTAAGGAATAGTCTTGGGGCAGCACATGAGACGGAAGGAGCTCTACAGAGCCCCGAATTCCGTGGCTGGATCAGCATCCTCGCAGCCCACACTGCTGTGCAGCAGTGCACCTGAGAAAGTTTGAGTTGAGGCCGGGCACAGTAGCTCACGCCTGTAATCCCAGCACTGTGGGAGGCTAAGGTAGGAGGATTGCTTGAGGCCAGGAGTTTGAGAGCAGCCTGGGCAACATGGCGAAACCCCATGTCTACTAAAAATACAAAAAAATTAGCCGGGTGTGGTGGCGGGTGCCTGTAATCCCAGCTACTCAGGAGGCTGAGGCAGGAGAATTACTTGACCTGGGCCTGGGGTTGGGGGGTGGAGGCTGCAGTGAGCTCAGATTGTGCCACTACACTCCAGCTTGGGCGACAGAGTGAGACTCCATCTCAAAGAAAACAAACAAACAAACAAAACCCTAGCCTCCAGATTTTCAGGGAGGCTGATTTGAGTAATAATAAAACTCTGATTGGCCAGGTGCAGTGGCTCATGCCTGTAATCCCAGCACTTTGGGAGGCCCAAGCGGGCAGATCACGAGGTCAGGAGTTCGAGACCAGCCTGGCCAATATGGTAAAACCCCATCTCTACTAAAAATACAAAAATTAGCCAGGCAGGGTGGCACACATATAGTCCCAGCTACTCGGGAGGCTGAGGCAGAAGAATCGTTTGAACCTGGGAGGCAGAGGTTTCATTGAGCCGAGATCGCGCCACTGCACTCCAGCCTGGGCGACAGAGCAAGACTCCGTCTCAAACAAACAAACAAACAAAAAAACTCTGGTCTCCCACTTACCTGGCTCAATGTGTATTAAACTCTTTTTTGCAATTCCTCTGTCTTGATGAATGGGCTTCATCCAGGCACCCGGCAAGAGCTGTAATGTAACTCATTACAGCAGTTACAATAGATGAAAAATAATTTACAGAGCTGAGGAAGCAGAGTGCTAGCACCCAGTAAGGCAGGAAACAAGATACTTTCAGAAGAATTCTAGCAGTCAATAAAAGACATGGGTAGACTTCGCATCCACGGCATAGAAGCAGGAGGCTGTGCAAACACCATGTTCTGAGGATGAGATAATTTTTTTTTTTAATTTGAAACTGGGTCTCACTATGTTGCCCAGGCTGGTCTCAAACTCCTGGGCTCAAGCAATTCTCCAGCCTCAGCCTCCCAAAGTGCTGGGATTACAGGCCTGAGCCACCGCACATGACTGAGAAAGAATTATTGAGAGTGAAATCACTAACACCAAGAAAAACCAAAACACGCCATGCACAGTGGTTCACACCTGCAATCCCAGCCCTTTGGGAGGCCGAGGTGAGTGGATCACCTGAGGCCAGGGGTTCAAGACCAGCCTGGTCAACATGGTCAGAACCCCATCTCTACTAAAAATACAAAAATTAGCCAGGCGTGGTGGTGGGCACATGTAATCCCAGCTACTCAAGTGGCTGAGGCAGGAGAATTGCTTAAACTCGGGAGGCAGAGGTTGCAGTGAGCTGAGATCGCACCACTGCACTCCACCCTGGGCAACAGAGCGAGACTCTGTCTCAAAAACAAAATGAAACAAAACAAAACAAAAAACCAAAACGCTAAGAGATGCAAAGACTGGTAGAAGGAATCTGGTGCTGGTAGATTCATAATTTTCAAAAACAGCCTAGAAATTTTCCAAGGATGTAGTATAACAAAAAGGCAAAGGAGGGCCGGGCACGGTGGCTCACACCTGTAATCCCAGCACTTTGGGAGGCCGAGGCAGGCAGATCACCTGAGGTCAGGAGTTCAAGACCAGCCTGGTCAACACGGTGAAACCTTCATCGCTACTAAAAATAGAAAAATTAGCCGGATGGGTGGTGCAGGCCTGTAATCCTAGCTACTTGGGAGGCTGAGGCAGGAGAATCACTTGAACCTGGAAGGTGGAGGTTGCAGTGAGCGAAGATCGCGCCATTGCACTCCATCCTGGCAACAGAGTGAGACTCCATTTCAAAAAAAAAAAAAAAAAAAAAAGGCAAAGGAGTGGAAATTGTGAAAGGGAGGTTTTTTTGTTGTTTTGTTGTTTTTGTTTTTGTTTTTTGTTTTTTGTTTTTGAGACAGAGTCTCACTCTATTGCCCAGGCTGGAGTGCAGTGGCAAGATCTTGGCTCACTGCAACCTCCGCCTCCCATGTTCAAGCAATTCTCCTGCCTCAGCCTCCCAAGTAGCTGGGTCTACAGGTGCATGCCATCATACCTGGCTAATTTTTTATTTTTAGTAGAGACGGGGTTTCACTATGTTGGCCAGGCTGGTCTCAAATCCTTGACCTCAGATGATCCATCCACCTCGGCCTCCCAAAGTGCTGGGATGACAGGCATGAGCCACCACGCCAGGCCAGAAAGGGAAGATTTTGTTAAGAGCGATGATATTGTAAGTAATGAAGAAATGAGATTCACAGAAGAACAAAACAATCTCTGATTAAAAACAACACACACAGTTCCTCAAAACCATACACGCCCTTACCTGTCACCAATATCTCAAGCTGATCACTGGGTTCTGAGGCCCAGAAGGGAGACTTTGTCTGGTAGTACATGCAGCTGTAGTTCCCAGCATCGCCGGCTGTCACGTCCACCAGAGAGAAGTCTATCTCCTTCCCCGCTGGACTCTGCAGCTGGATGGGTGATGGCGTCCCTGCCTTCAGTAGAGCGAACATGATAGGCACAAACAATTGGTCTCGCTTCTGGCACTGCAGAGTCACCCTTCCACCTGCGGTCACTGTACCCCTTTGGTAGGTTCGGAGGAAAGGTTTAGATAAATGTCCTGTAAGAGAAGTCAGGTTCTGAGGTCCTGGGGAGAAGTCTGGAATCCCCCACTCACCCCTGTTCTCCTGGCCGGAGGCTCTCGTGGAGTGTGGGAAATGAGAGATTCCTGATCTCTTCTACCTTCCTCCACTTCCTACTCCGACCCCAGGACAGAGATTCTCCCTCCTACAAGACCTGTGTAAGGCCTGGCATGGTGGCTCACACCTGTAATCCCAGCACTTTGGGAGGCCAAGGCGGGTGGATCACCTGAGGTCAGGAGTTCGAGACCAGCCTGCCCAACATGGCGAAACCCTGTCTCTACTAAAAATACAAAAATTAGCCGGGCATGGTGGCAGGCACCTGTAATCCCAGCTGCTCAGGAGGCTGGAGCAGGAGAATCACTTGAGCCCAGGAGGCGGAAGTTGCAGTGAGCCGAGATGGCACCACTGCACTCTGGCCTGGGCGACAAAGTATAAAACCAACATATGCAATTTCGTTCCTGTCTCTCTCCCTCTCCCATCACCCCCAACTACTCTGAAGGTGGGACCCCTTTTCTCCCTCTGTTCCTCCACTTCCTCCCTCATCCCCTGTCCCCCGTATGTCATTGGCAGGCACCCTGTCTGTACCTGTCACCAACAGTAGAAGGACGTCACTGCGCTGTGAAAGGATGTGGGGGGATGCTTTTCTGTAGTATTCACAGGTGTACTCTCCAGCATTTCTGACTTTTAGATTATTGAGGTGAAATTCGGCCGCGCCCTCTGTAGAATCAAGGGGCTTCGGGGACTCCAGAATAATTCCTCCCTTCCTGAGAACAAAGCTCACACCTCTGGCAGGAGTCCAACATCGCAGCGTCACATTGCTGTTGGCAGGGACCACCGAGCTGGGCCAGGCACTGAGGGACGGCTTGGGCAGTGACCCTGGAAGGAAGCAGAGCCTGATGCTGGACCCGATGCCCTCCCCTGCTCTCAGGAAGCCCTTTTTAAAATTTATTATTATTATTATTATTTTGAGATGGAGTCTCCCTCTGTTGCCCAGGCTAGAGTGCAGTGGTGCAATCTCAGTTCACTGCAACCTCCGTCTCCTGGGTTAAAGCAATTCTCCTGCCTCAGCCTCCCAAGTAGGTGGGATTACAGGCACGCACCACCACACCCAGCTAATTTTGTATTTTAGTAGAGACAAGGTTTCACCATGTTGGCCAGGCTGGTCTCGAACTCCTGACCTCAGGTGATCCACCCACCTTGGCCTCCCAAAGTGCTGGGATTACAGGCGTGAACCCCTGAGCCCAATCAGGAATCCCATTTTAAGAAGGGAAGCGGGCTGGGTGCGGTGGCTCACGCCTGTAATCCCAGCACCTTGGGAGGCCAAGGCAGGCAGATCACGAGGTCATGAGATCGAGACCATCCTGGCCAACATGGTGAAACTCCGTCTCTACTAAAAATACAAAAATTAGCTGGGCGTGGTGGCAAGCACCCGTAGTCCCAGCTACTTGGGAGGCTGAGACAGGAGAATCACTTGAGCCCAGGAGGCGGAGGTTGCTGTAAGCCGAGATTGCACCACCGCACTCCAGCCTGGCGAAAGAGTGAGACTCCGTCAAAAAAAAAAGAGAAAAAGAGGGGGAAGGGGAAGAGAACAGCAGGGGATTTGGGATGACAGGCCAAGGAGGGTGTAGTTGAAGAAACACTCACCATCTCCCCTTGTGTCTCCTTGGCCCACGCACAGTCCTGCAAGACAATCCTCCGTGAGCCAGAAGCCCCTACCTGGAGCCACGTCACCCCCTGCCCTGACCCCTGGAGATCGTCCCAGAGTCTCCTGCTGAGAACAGACCCTTAGAGGTCATACGCTCAGGAGTTCTCATTCTCCCCACACTGGACTGTGGCTTCTGCTCGACTTCCAGCTCCTCCATCCTTTCCCAGCGATTCTCCTTGACCATCCTGTGTGGCTGTCACCTCCCCCTGCTCCAGGCCTTTCCCACAAATCCTTCCATTCTCATCTTCTGTTTGAAAACAGCACTCATTCTTACCATTTCTTTCTTTCTTTCTTTTTCTTTCCTTTCTTTCTTTCTTTTTTCTTTCTTTCATTCATTCTTTCTTTCATTCATTCCAGAGACAGAGTCTCGCTCTTTCTTTCTTTTTCTTTCTTTCTTTCTTTCATTCATTCTTTCTTTCTTTCATTCATTCTTTCTTTCTTTCATTCATTCCAGAGACAGAGTTGCGCTCTGTCGCCCAGGCTGGAGTAGAGTGACGCAATCTCGGCTCACTGCAACCTCCGCCTCCCGGGTTCAAGTGATTCTCCTGCCTCAGCCTCCCAAATAGCTGGGATCACAGGCATGCGCCAGGACGCCCGGCTGAGTTTTGTATTATTAGTAGAGACAGGGTTTCACCATATTGGCCAGGCTGGTCTCGAACTCCTGACCTCAGGTGATCCACCCACCTCGGCCTCCCAAAGTGCCGGGATTACAGGCATGAGCTTTGTGCCCAGCTTCTTTTTATTTTTTAATTTTTCATTTTATTATTGTGTTTTGAGACAGGGTCTCTCTCTGTTGCCCAGGTTGGAGTGCAGTGGCTCCATCATGGCTCACTGTAGCCTCCCAGGCTCAAGTGATCCTCCCACCTCAGCCTCCCGAGTAGCTGGGATCACAGGTGTGCACCACCACACCCGGCTAATTTTTTAGTCTTTCCCAGAGACAGAGTCTCCCTATGTTGCCCAGGCTCATGATCTCTTTTAATCCCTTCATGACTCCAAACAGGACAAAATTTATTGTTTGGTGTCCTGTAACAAGCCTCAAAACATCCAAATGGTCATTCCAGAAAGGGGAAAGCATACGTTCCTCCCTGTTTCACACATGGCTGCATTTGCTCTTCCTCCTTTTTAATTTTTTTTGATAGAGACAGGGCTGGGCTGGTTAAGAACTCTTGACCATGCCGGGCGCGGTGGCTCCCGCCTGTAATCCCAGCACTTTGGGAGGCCGAGGCAGGTGGATCACGAGGTCAGGAGTTGAAGACCAGCCTGGCCAACATGGTGAAACCCCGTCTATACTAAAAATACAAAAATTAGCCAGGTGTGGTGATGGGCGCCTGTGATCCCAGCTACTCAGGAGGCTGAGGCAGAGAATCGCTTGAACCCAGGAGGCAGAGTTTGCAATGAGCTGAGATCGCACCACTGCACTCCAGCCTGGCCACAGCGCGAGACTCAGTTTCAGGAAAGAAAAAAAAAAGAGAAAGAAAAGAAAAAACATAATATCAAGCCTGTTTATGAACATTATCATAATAATGAGATTGATCTAACTCAAAGAAAGTTAGTTAGGCCTGTGTCTCTGAGAGATTTCCTCTTTTTCCCCTGTGTGAACAGTTTTAGGTCTCAGCAGGAAAAAGGAGAAGTTACCAGGCGTTTGTGCTACTATTACATCCATGAGCCAATCCATAAACTGACACTTCAAGTTTTGCAAAAGGAAATTGTGAACACCCAAAATGTTCAAACAACGTAAGTGTCCATCCATGGAAGAATGGATAAACACAGTGTGCTCTATATATTCAATGGGATTTTTCTTCTTTTTCTTCGTTTTTTTTTTTTTTTTTTTTGAGACATAGTTTCATTCTTGTTGCCCAGGCTGGAGTGCAATGGCGCGATCTCGGCTCACTGCAACCTCCGCCTCGCGGGTTCAAGTGATTCTCCTGCCTCAGCCTCCCAAGTAGCTGGGATTACAGCTCACTGCAACCTCCGCCTTGCAGGTTCAAGTGATTCTCCTGCCTCAGCCTCCCAAGTAGCTGGGATTACAGCTCACTGCAACCTCCGCCTTGTGGGTTCAAGTGATTCTCCTGCCTCAGCCTCCCAAGTAGCTGGGATTACAGGCATGCACCACCATGCCCAGCTAATTTTGTATTTTTTAGTAGAGACAGGGTTTCACCATGTTGGTCAGGCTGGTCTTGAACTCCCCACCTCAGGTGA
Organism: Homo sapiens; assembly: GCF_000001405.40. Taxonomy (NCBI): domain Eukaryota; kingdom Metazoa; phylum Chordata; class Mammalia; order Primates; family Hominidae; genus Homo; species Homo sapiens. The sequence continues at coordinate 52,508 of NW_003571060.1, forward strand.
TCCGCCCATCTTAGCCTCCAAAATGCTTTTTTCTTTTTCTTTTCTTTCTTTCTTTTTTTTTTTTTTTTTTTTTTGAGGCAGGGTCTCGCTCTGCTGCCCAGGCTGGAGTGCAATGATGTGATCCTAGTTCATTCCAGCATCAACTCCCTGGGCTCAGGTGATCCTCCCACCTCTGCCTCCCGAGTAGCTGGGACTACAGCTGCACACCACCATGCCCAGCTCATTTTTGTTGTTGTTGTTGTTTTTAATATTTATTTATTTATTTTGAGATGGAGTTTCGCTCTTGTTGCCCAGACTGGAGTGCAATGGCATGATCTCGGCTCACTGCAACCTCTGACTCCTGGGTTCAAGCGATTCTCTTGCCTCAGCCTCCCAAGTAGCTGGGATTACAGGCGCCCGCCACCACGCATGGCTAATTTTTATATTTTTAGTAGAAATGGGGTTTCACCCTATTGGCCAGGCTGTTCTCGAACTCCTTACGTCAGGTCATTGCAAAAAAAGTGCTGGGATTACAGGCGTGAGCCACCATGCCCAGCCTCATTTTTGTATTTTTTGTAGAGACAGGGTTTCACCATGTTGCCCAGGCTAGTCTCGAACTCCTGGGCTCAAGCGATCTGCCTGCCTCAGACTCTCAAAGTGCTGGGATTACAGGTGTGAGACACTGTGCTCGGCCTACAGTGGGATTTTAGCCATAAAAAGGAAAGGAAATCTGACATATCCTACAATATAGATGTAGCTCGAGGATATTATGCTGAGTAAACTAAGTCAGGCAAAAAAGAACAAGTGTTATGATTCCACTCATACATCCTAGAATAAGCAAATTCATAGAGATAAAAATTAGAATGGGCTGGACACGGTGGCTCACGCCTGTAATCCCAGCACTTTGGGAGGCCGAGACAGGCAGATCACAAAGTCAGGAGATCGAGACCAGCCTGGTCAACATGGTGAAACCTTGTCTCTACTAAAAAAAAAAAAAAAAAAAACTTAGCCAGGCATGGTGGTGAGCGCCAGTGATCCCAGCTACTCGGGAGGGAGAGGCAGGAGAATCGCTTGAACCCAGGAGGCGGAGGTTGCAGTGAGCTGAGATTAGGCCACTGTACTCCAGCCTGGGTGACGAAGCAAGACTCCATCTCCGAAAAAAAAAAAAAAAAAAAGAAATTAGAATGGAGGTTACCAGGGGCTGGGAGGACCGCGGCAAATACAGAGTTATTGGTTAGAGGGTGTAGCGTTCATATTGGGAATTGTGATTGTTAATTTGATTTATCAGCTAGACCAGGCCACAGGATGCTGGGATATCTGGTTAAACATTATTTCTGGGCGTGTCTGTGAGGGTGTTTTTAGAAAGATCAGCATTTGAATCTAATGCTGAGTCGGGCAGGTTGGCCTTCCTAATGGAGGTGGGTATTCTGCTGAGGGCCAGGATGGGAGAAAAAGGTGGCAGAGCCACCACAGTGGCTCACGCCTGTAATCCCAGCACTTTGGGAGGCCAAGGCAGAAGGGCTGCTTGAGGCCAGGAGTTTGAGACCAGCCTGAGTAACATAGTGAGATCCCGTCTCTACAAAAAATTTAAAAATTACACGGGGCACTGTGGCTCACGCCTGTAATCCCAGCACTTTGGGAGGCTGAGGCTGAGGCGGGCAGATCACCTGAGGTGATCACCTGAGGGAGCTCAAGACCAGCCTGGCCAACATGATGAAACCCCGTCTCTACTAAAAAGTACAAAAAATCAGCCGGGTGTGTGGTGGGCACCTGTAATCTCAGCTACCCAGGAGGCTGAGGCAGGAGAATTGCTTGAGCCCAGGAGGTGGAGGCTGCAGTGAGCTGTGGTCATACCACTGCACTCCAGCCTGGGTACAGAGTGAGACTTTGTCTCAAAAAAAGGAAAAGGAGGGAAGGAAGGAAGGAAGTAAGGAAGGAAGGAAGGAAGGGAAAGAGAGAGAGGAAGGAAGGAATGAAGGAGAAAGAGAAAGAAAGAAAGGAAGGAAGGAAGAAAGAAAGAAAGAAAGAAAGAAAGAAAGAAAGAAAGAAAGAAAGAAAGAAAGAAAGAAAGAAAGAAAGCAAGCAAGCAAGCAAGCAGGCAAGCAAGCGGGGGCTCACGCCTGTAATCCCAGCACTTTGGGAGGCCGAGGCGGGCAGATCAAGAAGTCAGGAGATGGAGACCATCCTGGCTAACACAGTGAAACCTACGAAAAAAGCCGGGCATGGTGGCGGGCGCCTGTAGTCCCAGCTACTCGGGAGGCTGAGGCAGGAGAATGGCGTGAACCCGGGAGGCGGAGCTTGCAGTGAGCAGAGATCGCACCACTGCACTCCAGCCTGGGCGACAGAGCGAGACTCCATCTCAAAAAAAAAAAAAAGAAAGAAAGAGAGAGAGAGGAAGGAAGGGAGGAAGGAAGGAAGGAAGGAAGGAAGGAAGGAAGGGAAGGAGAAAAAGAAAGAAAGGAAGGAAGGAAGGAAGAAAGAAAGAGGTTTTAGTGTAGATAGTGGTGATGGTTACACAGCGGCCTCAATTTACTTTATAGTTATCTATTTGACACTAAATTTTTATTTATGGTATTAAGGTTTCTGGGCCAGGCACAGTGGCTCACATCTGTAATCCCAGCACTTTGAGAGACTGAGGTGGGCAGATCACCTGAGGTCGGGAGTTCGAGACCAGCCTGGCCAACATGGTGAAACACTGTCTCTACTAAAAATACAAAAATTAACCAGGCATGGTGGCGCACCCCTGTAATCCAGTTACTCAGGAGGCTGAAGCAGGAGAATCGCTTGAACCCGGGAGGCAGAGGTTGTGGTGAGCCGAGATCATGCCATTGCACTACAGCCTGGGCAACAAGAGCAAAACTCTGTCTCAAAAAAATAAAATAAAATAAAATAAAATAAGGTTTCTATTCTGAATACTTTTACTTACACACAAAAAGTCAGAGTTGATCCTGAGAAAAGGGGTAAGCCAATGAAGCCAGGTGGTGGAGGCATTCAGCAAAACTCACGAAGTTGAAACTACAGGAGTTGAAGTTTGCAGAGCACTCGTTTCCAGGGAATGTCTGCACTGCACTCAGCAGGACGTCTCACTCCTCCCGTGTGCTCAGTAAGCCAAAGTTGATGTTATTATTTCCATCCCCAGCCCAACTATCCCACCAGTTCCATGATTTTCTGCAGTCCCAGTGGATAGCCCTGTGAGACTTACTGAAACAGAGGAGGGAAAGCAGCTTAGGGATCATGATGGCTCCTTAGCCCTCCCAGAGTCCGTCTTGGGTTCTGCAGTCCACAGATGGGAGAAGAGCTGGAGTCGTCGCTGCCTCTCTCCCACCCCAGAGTGTGGGCAGTAACAGCCTTTCCTAGCCTTTCAGTTTCCCCTCCCATATCCACATTCAGGAAACATGTTGATGTTGCTGATTGCAACATGCTCCTTACACACACCAGTGTTCGAGCACTTGACTCACAGGAAATGCTCCTCTGTCTCAGGCAGATTTCAGGCATCAAACAGGTAACCCCGAAAATGCTTCAGACTTGGCCCTGAAGGGTTCGTATTGAAGAGATGAAAGCACTTCACTCTTTTTTTTTTTTTTGAGATGGTGTCTGGTTCTGTTACCTGGGCTGGAGTCCAGTGGCACGATCTCAGGTCATTGCAACTTCAGCCTCCTGGGTTCAAGCAATTCTCCGGCCTCAGCCTCCCAAGTAGCTGGGATTATAGGCGCATGCCACCATGCCCGGCTAATGTTTGTATTTTTAGTTAAGATGAGGTTTCACAAGTTAGCTGGGCTAGTCTTGAACTCCTCGCCTCAAGTGATCCACCTGCCTCGGCCTCCCAAACTGCTGGGATTACAGGCATGAGCCACTGTGCCAGGCCTTCATCACCATTTTTTTTTTTTCTTTTGAGACAGAGTTCCACTCTTTCGCCCAGGCTGGAGTGAAGTGGCAAAATCTCATCTCATTGCAACCTCCACCCCCCAGGTTCAAGCGGTTCTCCTGCCTCAGCCTCCCAAGTAGCTGGGATTACAGGAGCCCTTCAACATGCCCAGTTAATTTTTGTATTTTTTAGTAGAGATGAGGTTTCACCATGTTGGCCAGGCTGGTCTCAAACTCCTGATCTCAAGTGATCCACCCACCTCAGCCTCCCAAAGTGCTGGGATTACAGGCATGAGCCACTGTGCCCAGCCAGTCATGAGCTCATTTTTTAAGTTCAGAATATTTCAGTACATATCTATCTTTATCAAATAAGAACCATTTTAAAAATAATATAAGCACCACAGCACTGTCACATCAAGAAAGTTAAGAGTACCTCCTTGATACCAGCTAATACCCATTCAGTACTCAAATTTCCCTGATTGTCTCAAAAATGTCATTTCTATCAGGTTTTTAAAGAATAAATCAGGATCCAATAAAAGTCTACAGATTGCATTTGATAATTATGTTAATTTAGCCTGGCGCAGTGGCTCATGCCTGTAATCCCAACACTTTGGGAGACCGGGGCAGGTAGATAACCTGAGGTCAGGAGTTCGAGACCAGCCTGGCCAACCATGGTGAAACCTCATCTCTACTAAAAATACAAAAATTAGCTGGGCGTGGTGGTGCACGCCTGTAATCCCAGCTACTCAGGAGGCTGAGGCAGGAGAACTGCTTGAACCTGGGAGGCAAAGGTTGCAGTGAGCTGAGATCGCACCATTGCACTCCAGCCTGGGCAACAGAGTGAGACTCAGTCTCAAAAAAAAAAAAAAAAATGTTAATTTGAATCAGACAAAATTTTTTATTTTTTTGTTAAAATAAGAAATCAAGCAAGTTAGTTTTTAACCATGTTTTTTTTCATCTTGCATTTGGAAGAAGAGCAAAATGCCCCGAAGTCTCGTTTTTGTTTTCGGATTTTTTGTCTTGATAGCACCTACTCTTCTTACTGTTTTGGAACATAGAAAAGTCAACAAGGCAACAAATTATAAGGAGTAAAACCAACTATAATTACAGGTGTTTCTTTGAAAGTTATTTTCACAAGATGTGGCAATGATTTTTAAAGGCTTGGGACTCTTACAAGACCCTTTTGTTCAAATAACAGTTTTGTGTATGAATTTATTTCAACAGAGAACAATTTAGTAATGTTTGTGAATATTCATTTAGTTCTCCATATTGTACCAGAAAACAAGACTGATATTCTTGTGAATCTTCTCAATTCAACTCTTTATCAAATCAGATTCCTTAAATTAGTGTTGTGACTCAGAAAAAATCTTTCTCCTTATGCAGTATCAGGGAAAAGAGGACATCTCCTATATTTCTTCTTAACATCTCTGTTGCTAACAAGGAATATGCATATTTTAAAACTAGGCTCTGGAATTTTATCAGTCAACAGGAAAGGCCTGGTAAAGTTCCATTCCACTTGGAAATGAAGAAAGGAGACCCTGATTCAAAAAACGAAAAAAGAAAGAATAAAGAATAGCTTAGGGCCAGGCAAGGTGGATCACACCTGTAATCCTAAGATTTTGGGAGGTGAGGTAGGTGGAAGGCTTGATCCCAGGAGTTCAACACCAGCCTGGGCAACATGGCCTAATCCCATCTCTACAAAAAATACAAAAATTAGCCAGGCTTGGTGGTATATACCTGTAATCCCAGCTTCTCAGGAGGCTGAGGTGGGAGAATCACTTGAACCTGGGAGGGGGAGGTGGCAGTGAGCTGAGATCGCACCATTGTACCCCAGCCTGGGCAACAAGAGTGAAACTCCATCTCAAAAAATAATAATAAAATAAATAAATAAATAATCATTCACTTTGTTAGGTGTTTATCACACCTAACCTTAAGAATATGTTACCAAAATAAAAAGTCTTATAGATGAAATCATATTATATCTGAGGTTTACTTTAAAATACTCCAGGAGAAAATTTAAAATAGACTTGGGGGAGGGGACTTATCTGTAGTTATCTGCACATAATCTACATGATTATCTCAAAGCCATCCTTTTGCTGTTGAGAATTCTGATTTTTAGCTGGGCCCATTGGCACCCAGGTAAAAAACTACATTCTTCAGTGTCACTTACAGGTAGATGTAGCCGTAAGTCTTCATCTAGGACAATGATAAATAAGCATAAATATTGTAGACAGCTTCCAAAAGGTTCTTTAATGAAGTACACTTTCCTTCCTTCACTTAACTGCCTAAAATGTGGATGTGATGACTGGTATTCTAGCGTCATCTTGAACCATGAAGATGAGATGAGGTTCAAGATGGTGGAGGGTGAGCCAGAAGTAACTTAGGTCCATAATGCTTTTTGGAGTCACTGTGCCAGCCTTGGACTGCTCCCTTCAGATTTATTCTACATAAGGGAGAAATCAATTGGTATTAGTTTTAAGTCATCATTATTTAGTTCTCTTTTGGGTTTAGGTTATCAATTACTGTGTTAACAAACCACCCCAAAACTGAGTAACTTAGAGTAACAATCTTGTTTTTTTTTTTTTTTAATCATTCCTGATCTGGTGAGATGACTGGGCTCAGTTGAGCGGTTCTTCGGTTCAATGTGATGTCTTCCTGGGCTTCAGTCATCAGGGTGGCTCAACTGAGCTGGAATCTCCAAGATGGCACTTGCAAATGGCTGGCTGTTGATGCTGGATGTTGGTTGAAAGCTCGGCTAGGACTGTTGAATGATGTACCTGCACATGGCCTCTCCATTTGATTCAGACTTCTTGGAGGATAGCATCTGGGTTTCAAGAGGGGATGTCACAAGAGAGCTTTCTAAAATAGAGAAGGCGGCTGGGCATGGTGGCTCACGTCTGTAATCCCAGCACTTTGGGAGGCCGAGGTGGGTGGATCACCTGAGGTCAGGAGTTCAACATCAGCCTGGCCAACATGGTAAAACCCCGTCTCTACTAAAAACAAAATTAAAAAAAATTAGCCGGGTGTGTTTGTGCACACCTGTAATCCCAGCTACTCAGGAGGCCGAGGCAGGAGAATTGCTTGAACCTGGGAGGCGGAAGTTGCAGTGAGCCGAGATCACACCACTGCACTCCAGCCTGGGCAACAGAATGAGACTCTGTCTCAAATAAATAAATAAATAAATAAAATAAAGAAGGCAAAAGTTGTTTGTCCCTTTAAAGACTAAGCCTGGAACTGACACAGTTTCTCTTCTTCTACAGTCTTAAGGAAAGGCCAGATTCAAGGGGAGGGAAAATAAACTCTACCTCTCTATAGGGACAGTGACAAAGAATTGGAGGCCATCTTTAGTCTGTCATGTGTTATGGTCAATGGAAATAGATATATATATATTTACTGAGTGCCTGAGTCCCACCGAGAGATTTTAATTATTTTTTTATTTTTGTTTTTTTAAGATGGAATTTTGCTCTTGTTGCCCAGGCTGAAGTGCAATGGCATGATCTCAGCTCACTGCAACCTCTGCCTCCCGGGTTCAAGCGATTCTCCTGCCTCAGCCTCCCAAGTAGCTCGGATTACAGGCAAGTGCCACCACACCCAGTTAATTTTGTATTTTTTAGTAGAGATGGGATTTCTCCATGTTGGTCAGGCTGGTCTTGAACTCTTGACCTCAGGTGATCTGCCCACCTTGGCCTCCCAAAGTGCTGGGATTACAGGTGTGAGCCACCGTGCCCAGTCGAGATTTTAATTTTTATAATGGGTATAGGATGAGGCCTGGGTGTCTCATTCTGTGTTTTAAATGTTCCTGGGAAATTCTAATGTGCAGTCAAGTTTGAGAACCACTGGGTTGGAACACATAACCTCCTTCCCATCTCAGACCCTGAAACATCCTGAAAACTCCTGTATCTGGAGTTTTTCCCCCATTTTTGCTTGGCTAACTTTGACTCTTCCCTCAGAAACCAGCTTCAGAATCTTTTCTTTAGCAAAGACTTCCCTGCAAGTTCTTTAACAGCACTTATCTCAGCTGTGACAAAATCATCAATGGTGTAATTGTGTCTTTTTAATGTCTTTTCCCCTATTCTTCATAATCGTCAAAGTAAAGGATAGCTCTTCTCTCAGTCAGAACTATTAATAGATGCTGTAATGGAAATGAAACAAGACTCTCAGACTCTTGTTAAAGTAAGAAGTCTAGCAGAGTCTCAGGCTTTAATTTTTTTTTTCCGATCATAAATGTGGGAGAAAGATCATTTAACCTGCTGCTAAGGTTTGAATATTTGTTCCCTTGAAAACTCATGTTGAACCAGCCTGGGCAACATAGGGAGACCCTGTCTCTACAAATAATTTAAAAATTAGCCAGGTGAGGTGGCACATGCCTGTGATCCCAGCTACTCAGGAGGCTGAAGTGGGAGGATCACCTGAGCCCAGAAAGCTGAGGATGCAGTGAACCGTGATTGCACCACTGCACTCCAGCCTGTGCAACACAGTGAGACCCTGTCTCAAAAAATAAATAGGTAAATAAGCTGAGTGTGGTGGCTCACACCTGTAATCTCAGCACTTTAGGAAGCCAAGGTGGGCAGATCACATGAGGTCAGGAGTTTGAGACTAGCTGGCCAACATGATGAAACCCTGTCTCTACTAAAAATACAAAAATTACCCGGGCATGGTGGCACGTGCCTGTAATACCAGCTACTCAGGAGGCTGAGGCAGGAGAATCACTTGAACCTGGGAGGTGGAGGTTATAATGAGCTGAGATCATGCCACTGCTGTCCAGCCTGGGTGACATAGCAAGACATTGTCTCAAAAAATACATAAATAAATAATAAATAAATAAACTTATGGTGAAACTGAATCCCTAATGTGGCCGTATTGATAGGTCGGGCATTTAAGAGGTGATTGGGTCATGAGGACTCTTTTCTCATGAATGAACTAATCCATTCATGGATTAATGGATTAGTGAGTTAATGGATTAATGGGTTACCCTGGGAGTGAGACTGGTGGCTTTATCAGAAGAGGAAGAGAGACTTAAGTAGCACGCTCAGCTCTTTTGCCCTGTGATGCCCTGTGCCACCTCGGAACCCTCCAGAGAGTCCCCAACAGCAAGAAGGTCCTCACCAGATGCAGCCCCTCCACCTTGGACTTTCCAACCTCCATTAACTACAGGAAATAAATTCCTTTTCTTTATAAGTTATCTGGCTTCAAGTGTTCTGTTCTAAGCAACAGAATACAGACTAAGACACAGACACCAATGCATAGCTTCTGATTTAACAGAATTGTTTTTACAAGCATTTATTCTGCTTGGAAATTCAGATGTCAATCATAAGATTGTTACCAGGGCAACAAAATATTAAGTAAGACCACCAAATGGCACCAAGGTTTCTCCTTCAAAATAATGATTGCAATACTGGCAATAATTTCTAATGTCTTTGGACTCCTACAAGATTATTTTGTGCAAATTACACTTCAAAGCACAGATTTATGGAACCACAGAATGGAACACTGGCTGCTGTAATAAATATCCATAGATCTCCATACTACATAAGACTATAAAACACATTTAGAGCCTTTTTAATATTCTCAGTTTATTAACTTATCAATCCACATTCCATTTTTTTGTTTGTTTGTTTTGTTTTGTTTTTTTACTTTAAGTTCTAGGGTACATGTGCATAATGTACAGGTTTGATACATGTGCCATGTTGGTTTGCTCCACCCATCAAGTTATCATTTACATTAGGTATTTCTCCTAATGCTATCCCTCCCCCAGCCCCCCACCCCACTCTGTTTTTTTTTTTTTTGTTTTTTTTTTTTTAAGACAGGGTCTCACTGTGTCACCCAGGTTGGAGTGCAGTGGTGTGATCTCGACTCACTGCAACCTCTGCCTCTCGGGTTCAAGTGATTCTCTTGCCCCAGCCCTCCCAAGTACAAGGAATTACAGGGTTGTGCCACCACGCCGGGCTAATTTTTGTACTTTTAGTAGAGACAGTGTTTTGCCATGTTGGCCAGGGCTGGTCTCGAACTTCTGGGCCCAAGTGATCCGCCTGCCTCGACCTCCCAAAGTTCTGGGATTACAGGTGTGAACCACCATGCCTCGCCTAAACTACATTCTTGAATTAGTTTTATGGCACAGAATATCTTTTTCTCCTCTCTCAATGCCCTCTCTCTCTCTAGCTCCCTCTCCTCCCCTACAGCTGCAAAGAAGAGATCTTCTTAATCCATTTCTTAAACTTCTTTTGATCAATTATAAAGAATTTTTTTTTTTAGATGGAGTCTCACTCTGTCACCCAGGATGGAGTGCAATGGCACAATCTCAGCTCACTGCAACCTCTGCCTCCCGGGTTCAAGTGATTCTCCTGCCTCAGCCTCCCAAGTAGCTGGGACTACAGGCATGTGCCACTACGCCCGGCTACTTTTTTTTTTTTTTGTATTTTTAGTAGAGACGGGGTTTCACCATGTTAGCCAGGATGGTCTCGATCTCCTGACCTCATGATCCGCCCACCTCAGCCTTCCAAAGTGCTGGGACTACAGGCGTGTGCCACTACACCCGGCTACTTTTGTGTGTGTGTGTGTGTGTGTTTAGTAGAGACGGAGTTTCACCATGTTAGCCAAGATGGTCTCGATCTCCGGACCTTGTGATCCACCCGCCTCAGCCTCCCAAAGTGCTGGGATTACAGGTGTAAGCCACTGTGCCCGGCCAATTATAAATATTTTTTAAGGCTAAACTCTGGAATTTTGCTAGTTAGCCTTAAAAGCACAAAGCAGGCCTATAAAGTTCAATTTTACTGGTAGAAAGCAAGAAATGGATGAATAGGATGTTCGCTGACAACCATGCAATTGAAACCTCCTTTGCAAAAATTACGAGAGTGAGCAAACGATGGCAGTGAAGGAGATCGGATCTGGCCAGCCCCTACCTTGCCTTTGGCCCTCAAACTGCTTGTAGTTATTCCTGGGTTTAGGCTAATCTGACTTGTCTCTTTGGGAGACATTTATTTTATTTTCTTTTATATTTCCTTGAGACGGAGTCTCGCTCTGTAGCCCGGGCTGGAGTGCAGTGGTGAGATCTCGGTTCACCGCAACCTCTGCATCCTAGTTCAAGGGATTCTCCTGCCTCAGCCTCCAGAGTAGCTGGAATTACAGGTGCCTGCCACCATGCCCGATTAATTTTTGTATTTTTAGTAGAGACGAGGTTTCACCATGTTGGCCAGGCTGGTCTGAAACTCCTGACCTCAAGAGATCCGCCCGCCTTGGCCTCCCAAAGTGCTGGGATTAGAGGAAAGAAGGAAAGGAAGGAAAAGAAAGGAAAAGAGAGGAGAGGAGAGGGGAGGGGAGGGGAAGGGAGAGAAAGGAAAGGAAAGGGAGAGAAAGGGAAGAGAGAAAGAAAGAAGAAAAGAGAGAAAGAAAGAAAGAAAGAAAGAAAGAAAAATAAAGAAAGAAGAAAAAAGAAAAGAGAAAAGGAAGGAGGGAGGGAGGGAGGCAAGGAAGGAAGGAAGCAAGAAAGAGAGAAAGAGAGAAAAGAGGCTCCTTATAAATAACAAAAGACACCCTTCTCACCAAGGGTTTTTGGAAATTCCAGAGTGATGGGGTGAGAAGGGTGTCTTTGGAACCAAAGCTGAAGACCAAGTACATATTTCTTACTATATCACGGTATCACGGGAGGTAAAACGGAGGTGGCCTTGAAGCAGCTCCTCCCCAGCCCCCAATCCTCTTGTGTGCCCGGAGGATCAGAAGAGGTCCCGCCGAGACTCAGCTTAGCTGTGGTTCAAGCCTCTGATTGCGTGGATAAGTACCAGGTTTCCAGAGTGCCAGGGCGGGGCTGCCCCTTGCGGTGGCATTAACTTTCCATGGCTATTTAAAATCAGCAGAGGACACACGATCTTCAGATGGGTCCTGTTTTACTTCCATATTTTCTCCTAGAGAGAAGAAAAATCATTAAACTTTTTTTTGTTTGTTTTTTGTTTTTTTGTTTTATTCGTTGTTTTTTTTTTTTTTTTTTTTTTTTGAGACGGAGTCTCGCTCTGTGGCCCAGGCTGGAGTGCAATGGCGTGTATCAGCTCACTGCAACCTCTGCCTCCAGGGTTCAAGTGATTCTCCTGCCTCAGCCTCCCGAGTAGCTGGGATTACAGCTTTGTATTTTTAGTAGAGTCGGGGTTTCACTATATTGGCCAGGGTGGTCTCCAACTCCTGACCTCAGGTGATCTGCCTGCCTTGGCCTCCCAAAGTGCTGGGATTACAGGCGTGAACCACCGCACCTGGCCTACTGTATTTTTTTTTTTTTTTTTGAATAGAGAAGGGAGTCTCAAACTCTTGGCCTCAAGCCATCCTCCTGCCTCAGTTTCCCAAAATGCTGGGATTATGAGTGAGCCACTGCACCTATCCCACCCCCTCCCACCCTCATTTTTAGAAGGGCACAGGCTAGAGACCATATTTCCATCAGTCACTTTTGCGGCTAGACCTGTCCATGAGACTAAGTTCTAGCCAATGGGATGCGATAGGAAGATACATGCTCAAATTCTAGGTCCTGCTCTTAAAAAATAATTGTGTGGGCCGGGCGCAGTGGCTCACGCCTGTAATCCCAGTACTTTGGGAGGCTGAGGCAGGCGGATCACGAGGTCAGGAAATCGAGACCATCCTGGATAACACGGTGAAACCCCGTCTCTACTAAAAATACAAAAAAATTTAGCCGGGTGTGGTGGTGGACGCCTGTAGTCCCAGCTACTTGGGAGGCTGAGGCAGGAGAATGGCGTGAACCCGGGAGGCGGAGCTTGCAGTGAGCCGAGATCGCGCCACTGCACTCCAGCCTGGGCGACAGAGCAAGACTCCAACTCGGAAAAAAAAAAAAATAATAATTGTGTGAGCCCTTTTCTCTCTGTCCTCTCCTCTTTCTTGGGGCTCAGAACCAGAAATTAAAGCTACATGTTGATAAAAGCAAAACCATCCCACCTTAACAAGTAAATCGTTGAGATTGCCCAGTGATTTACTGTTAAGTGAGAGAGAGGTACATTTATATCTAGTTTTTTTCCGGTGGTGAAGGAGATTCTTTTTTTCTCTCTCTCTCTCTTTTTTATGAGATGGAGCTTGGCTCTTGTTGCCCAGGCTGGAGTGCAATGGCACGACCTCGGCTCAGTGAAACCTCCGCCTCCCGGGTTCAAGTGATTCTCCTGCCTCAGCCTCCCGAGTAGCTGGGATTACAGGCATGCACCACCACACCAGGCTAATTTTTTGTATTTAGTAGAGACAGGGTTTCACCATGTTAATCAGGCTGCTCTCGAACTCCTGACCTCAGGTGATCCACCTGCCTTGGCCTCCCAAAGTGCTAGGATTACAGGTGTGCGCCACTGCACCTGGCCGGGAGATTCTTTTTTACAACAGCTTAAAGTGCTCTGTAACCAATACACTATGCAGTGATTTGGTTAATACTTTGTGAGTTCCATGAGTGCAGGGTTTATGTCTGCTATTGCTCCCCACTGGACCGCCGGACTCTAGCACAATGCCATGCACGGTAGACATTGAATACATGAGTGATACGAGGATGAATGAGACTAGGGGAAATCAGTGGAAGCCCTAGGCCTGGCACAGTGACTCACTCCTGGAATCCCAGCACTTTGGGAGGCCAAGGAAGGAGGATGGCTTGAGGCCAGGCATTCAAGACCAGCCTGGACAACATGGTGAGATCCCATAGCTATAAAAAGTAAACAATTAGCCGGGCGCGGTGGCTCACGCCTGTAATTCCAGCACTTTGGGAGGCCGAGGGGGGTGGATCACGAGGTCAATAGATCGAGACCATCCTGGCCAACATGGTGAAACCCCATCTCTACTAAAAATACAAAAGTTAGCTGGGCATGGTGGTGGCACACGCCTGTAATCCCAGCGACTCGGGAGGGCGAGGCAGGAGAATCACTTGAACCCAAGAGGCGGAGGTTGCAGTGAGCCGAGATCGCGTCATTGCACTACAGCCTGGCAACAGAGCGAGACTCCATCTCAAAAAAAAAATAATAATAATAGTAATAATAAATTGGCCAGGCGTGGTGATGGCAGTGTTGTCATTGCTTTAAGAGGCAGGAACAGGGGGAAAAGACCCAGCAGTCTAACCACACAGACAAGTCCCAAGTTAGGCACTTCTGTGTGTCTTGGGGGCTGTTGATCAGAAATAACCTATGTGGATCACCCAGCAAAATGACCAGTATGAAAAGATGTTCAGTGGTAGAAAATGAAATAAGCATTGTGACTACAACTCACTCAATAAGCATTCATTGAACACTGGTCACTGGTAAACTGCTATGAAGAAATCTCAGCTGGGTGCGGTGGCTCACGCTTGTAATCCCAGCACTTTAAAGGGAGACCAAGGTGGGCAGATGGATCACTTTAGGTCAAGCGTTCGAGAACAGCCTGGCCAACATGGTGAAACCCCATCTCTACTAAAAACACAAAATTAGCCGGGCATGGTGGCAGGTGCCTGTAATCCCAGCTACTTGGGAGGCTGAGGCAGGAGAATCGTTTGAACCCGGGAGGTGGAGATTGTAGTGAGCTGAGATCACAACACTGCACTCCAACCTGGGAAACAGAGCAAGACTCCATCTCAAAAAGAAAAAAAATCTCAAGCTTATTGGATAGATAAATGCACAGGTAGATAGATGGATATTGAATGAATAAATAGTTCAGTGGATTAAAAACTGGTTAATGAAGAAATGGATGGGTAAATGGATGGAAATATGAATGAATGCATGATGGATAAGGACAAATGAAATAGACAAATGTACAAATGAAAGCAAAGGAAAAAGAGATGCTCAATAGAAATGAATAAGGATGAGAATCAATGCTAGACATGAATGAGTGAATGGTGAATGAAGGAGTGATTGAATGGATGAATACATGGAGTTAAGTTGAAGTACAAACTCGGCCAAGACTTCTTTTTCTCTGCTTTGGGTGGAAATACATTTTTAAAAAAAGAGGGCCGGGCACGGTGGCTCATGCCTGTAATCCCAGCACTTTGGGAGGCTGAGGCGGGCGGATCACCTGAGTTTGGGAGTTCGAGGCCAGCCTGACCAACACAGAGAAACCCTGTTTCTACTCAAAATACAAAATTAGCCAGGTGTGGTGGCTCACACCTGTAATCCCAGCTACTCGGGAGGCTGAGGCAGGAGAATCACTTGAACCTGGGAGGCGGAGGTTGTGGTGAGCCGAGATGGCGCCATTGCACTCCAGCCTGGGCAACAAGAGCGAAAGTCCACCTCAAAAAAAATAAAATAAAATAAAATAAAATAAAAAAAGAGGGAAAAAGGAAAAAAAAAGACTCCCTGATGTGCCACTGACTTCCTGTACATGTTTAGGTAAACTTAATATCACCTCTCTTTCCACCATTTTCCCATTTATAAAGTGGGAAGACTGGATTTGATGACATCACAGCCTCATCCAGGTCTGGTGCCTTCCTTATAACCTGCGTCTCTTCTTTATTCTTTTTTTTTTTTTTTTTTTTTTTGAGACGGAGTTTTGCTCTGTCACCCAGGCTGGAGTGTGCAGTGATGCAATCTCGGCTCACTACAACCTCCGCCTCCTGGGTTCAAGCAATTCTCCTGCCTCAGCCTCCCGAGTAGCTGGGATTACAGGCGCCCGCCACCACGCCCGGCTAATTTTTGTATTTTTAGTAGAGACGGGGTTTCACCATGTTGTCCAGGCTGGTCTCGAACTTCTGACTTCGTGATCCACCTGCCTCGGCCTCCCAAAGTGCTAGGATCACAGGTGTGAGCCAGCACCCCCGGCTTATTCCTTTTTTAAAATTGTTATTATTTCCCACAGCCACATATGCCGGGGAGGTTGTCCCACATATGTTCTACCAAGGCCCCTCTGGCACTGAGATCAAACCCCGGAAGACCCGCTCAGTCTCTCCTCCCGTCTTTTCAACACGTTAGCGCCCCCAGGTGGCTAATTAGACTTCAAAATTCAGTTCTTGAGGCGGGCGGATCACTTGAGGTCAGGAGTTCAAGACCAGTCTGGTCAACATGGTGAAACCCCGTCTCTACTAAAAATACAAACATTAGCCGGACATGGTGGTACGCACCTGTAATCCCAGCTATTCGGGAGGCCGAGGCAGGTGGATCACTTGAGGTCAGGAGTTCGAGACCACCTGGCCAATTTGGCAAAACTCCATCTCTACTAAAAATACAAAAATTAGCTGGGCGTGATAGCGCACACCTGTAATCCCAGCTACTCAGGAGACTGAGGCACGAGAATCACTTGAACCCGGGAGGCGGATGTTGCAGTGAACCGAGATCACGCCACTGCACTCCAGCCTGGGTGGAGTGAGATCTTCTCTCAAAAAAAAAAAAGAAAGAAAGAAAGAAAAAGTCGTGCTTGATTATGCTTGATGGCAAAAAGGTGAGACCTTCCTTTCGGCACTGAGTCTGGTAGAAATCGGTGTTACAGGGTAGCTAACATTTATTGAACACTTACTACGGGCCAGTTACTGCTTTAAATGTTTTATGTGTATTACCCACTGAATCCTACAACAATCCTATGAAGTGGGTTTTATCAGTGCATCCATTTTACCGTCAAGGCAAGAGAGAGTTGGGGAAGGGCGCTTTCTGAATGCTGCTACCGTGTCCAGAGTTGGTTCCTTCCTGTGGGTTTGTGGTCTCGCTGACTTTAAGAATGGAGCCAGGGACCTTCGTGGTGAGTGTTACAGCGCTTAAAGATGGCACGGACCTAAAGAGTTAGCAGCAGCAAGATTTATTGTGTAGAGCAAGAGAACAAAGCTCCCACAGCGTGGAAGCAGACTCTGGTGGGGTGCCGCGCTCGCCAGCTTTTATTCCCTTATTGTCCCCGCCCATGTCCTGCTGATTGGTCCATTTTACAGAGCGCTGATTGGTCCATCTTACAGAGTGCTGATTGGTCCATTTTACAATCCTCTTGTAAGACAGAAAAGTTCTCCAGGTCCCCATTCAACCCAGGAAGTCCAGCTGGCTTCACGTCTCACTACTACCTTTCTGTAGCTGCTACTACTACAGTGAGTAGACGGCAGTGCTGGGATTCGAACCCTCTGTCTTCTGGCTTGGAAGTCTTAACCACTAATCGCGTCTTCCTTTCAGCTACTCCTTGGGAAAGGCCTGGAAAGAAGCTACAGCACAGGGCACAGCGGGGTCTAAGGACCGTTCCGCGGAGCTCAGCCAGCAGGACTGTGGGGCTGCAGGAAAGGACAGTCCAGCCCAGGGTCCCAGCTTCTCCGCCACTCAGGTTGGAAGTCTCGGGCTGCAGTGCTCCTGGGGCTCAGGGGCGGATACCAGCAGGAGCGCGGTTCTGACTGCGCCAGTCAAAAGTGACCAGCGCGCCCAGGGAGATGAGGACCAGCCCGGCCAGCCCCAGGCGGACTAGGTTCCCCCGGGTGTAGTCGGAGGAGCCAGAGTCTGCGGGCGGAGCCGGGAGAGAGGGGCCATCAGCTCCCGGACCCCAAAGTCTGGGCCCTGAACTCCAGGTTTCCAGCCCCTGGGGTGGACTTAGGGACCTGACTCTACAGTCTCAAAGTTGAGGGGGAGTCGATGGAGGCTTCAACTCCTGGGTCCAGGAAGAAGGGGCTGGGGCCTGGACTGCTGGATCAGGAAGGAGGGGCTGGGGGCCTGGAGTCCTGGGTCCAGGAAGGAGGGGCTGGGGGCCTGGAGTCCTGGGTCTGAGGGAGGAGGTACTGGGGCCCGGGAATCCTGGGTCTGAGGGAGGAGGAGCTGGAGGACTAGACTCCTGGATCTGAGGGAGGAGGGGCTGGGTCCCAGGAATCCTGGGTCTGAGGGAGGAGGGGCTGCAGGACTAGACCCCTGGGTCTGAAGGAGGAGAGGCTGGGGGCCTGGGCTCCTGGGTCTGAGGGCGGAGGTCCTGGGGCCTGCATTCCTGGGGCGGAGGAGGCGGGCCGGGCCTCAGGGCCCTCACCTTCCCAGCTGATGACCAGCACCTCGCTGCGCTGCGACAGCACGTAGGGCGCGGAGGGCGTGTGATAGTAGCAGCTGTAGGTGCCGGGGGCGCGGGCGCCCAGCAGCGTGAAGTCGGCCCAGGGCTGCGCGGAGTGGCGGTACTGCAGCGGGGCCGCCACGCCCTCGCGGTACAGCACGAAGCTCATGTTCCGCAGGCGGCCCGCGCAGCGCAGGCTCACGTTGGCGCCAGGACCCACCACCGGCCCGGGCAGCGCCACCAGCGACGGCCGCGGCAGCTCCTCTGCAGAGACGGGGTGAGAGTCCGGGGCCGCGTGAGCGTCTTCCGCTCGCTCGCTCGCTCTGTTTCTCCTTCTCCTCTGTCTCTCGCTTTCTCTGTGCCTCTCTCTCTCTTTCTGCCTCTCTTTCTCTCTGCCTGTCTCTCTCTCTGTCTGCCTCTCTCTCTGCCTCCCTCTCTCTCTGCCTCCCTCTCTCTGCCTCCCTCTCTCTCTGCCTCCCTCTCTCTCTGCCTCCCTCTCTCTCTGCCTCCCTCTCTCTCTGCCTCCCTCTCTCTCTGCCTGCCTCTCTCTTTGCCTGCCTCTCTCTCTGCCTCCCTCTCTCTGCCTCCCTCTCTCTCTGCCTCCCTCTCTCTCTGCCTCCCTCTCTCTCTGCCTCCCTCTCTCTCTGCCTCCCTCTCTCTCTGCCTGCCTCTCTCTCTGCCTGCCTCTCTCTCTGCCTCCCTCTCTTTCTGCCTCCCTCTCTCTCTGCCTCCCTCTCTCTCTGCCTCCCTTTCTCCTTCTGCCTCTTTCTCTCTCTCTCCCCCCGCACTGTACCTCTCTCTCTCTCTGCTCCCCTGTCTCTCTCTCTCTGCTCCCCTGTCTCTCTCTCTCCCCCTAGTGTCTCTGTATCTGTCTTTTCTTGTGTCTGTGAATCTGTTTGCCCGCCTCGCTCTGTCTCTCTTTCCCTATATCTCTCTGTCCCTCCCCCAACTCCCTTGTTCCACCCACTTCTCCTCCCCGACCCCAGGACCTCACCTGTCACCAGCAGCTCCAGGACATCGCTGGGCTGGGACCAGACACCCGGCCCCCAGTCTGGCCTTCGGTAGCAGCAGCGGTAAATTCCCCCTTGGGCTGGAGTCACCTCCTCCAGAAAGAATTCTGCCAGCTCGGAGGACACATCCCGGAAGAGAAGGGGAGCGATCTCTCCAGGCTTGAAAAGTCCAAATCTCCAAGCGGGTTGGGGTGCCCGGCATCTCAAGGTCACGTTGACCCCAGGGGTCACAACTGTAGCCGGCTGAGCTCCCAGCCATGGCTTAGGGTGGTATGAAGCTGGGGGGACTGAATAAACGGGGCTGCCTGGGTCCTCGGGCCTCCTGGGAGCCCCAGAAGATGAAAGGGAAGTTGGGGAAGGAGGAAAATCACCTTGGACAATTACTGCCCCTTTCTTAGCCTCAGTTTCCTGTTTGTAAAATCAGGGAGAGACTGGACTACAATCAAGCCTTGTTAAAACCAGGTGCAAATCAGAGGGGCAGGACAGAAACTTCTGAGCTTTACTCCACAGTTTGTAAACACAGTTTCAAAAGGTCAGGTCCCAGAACTCTGTAATTTTATTATTATTATTATTTTTAAGTAATGAGATGGGAGGGGGCGGTCTCCCTATGTTGAGCAGGTTGGTCTTAAACTACTGGCCTCAAGCAATCCTCCCACCTCGGCCTCCCAAAGTGCTAAGTTTACAAGCTTGTGCCACCACACCCAGACTTTTTTTTTTTTTTTTTTTTTTTTTGAGGCAGGGTCTTGCTGTGTTGCTCAGGCAGGAGTGCAGTGGCATGTTCTCAACTCACTGCAGCCTCAATCTCTTGGGCTCAAACAGTCCTCCACCTCAGCCTCCTGAGTACCTGGGACCACAGGCACATGCCACTACACCAGGCTAATTTTTTTTTTTTAATTTTTAGTAGAGACGAGCATTCGCTATATTGCCCAGGCTACTCTTGAACTCTTGGGCTCGAGCAATCCTCCCACCTCGGCCTCCCAAAGTGCTGGGATTACAGGTGTGAGCCACCACGCCCAGCCAGAACTCTAATTTTAAATAGCTTTCCAGAATATTTGCAATATAGTATTTCAAGAGTTGCCAAAACTTGCTATTTGGAAAAGAAAAATGTTGGATCCCTACCTCATACCATTTCCCAAAACAACTTCCAGATTAATTAAAGACCCTGTGTTTCTTTTTTTTTAAACTATAAAAGTATTCAAAAAACTATAGGAAAATATATTTGTCTTGGGGTAAGGAAGGCTTCTTAAAATATAAAATAAAAAGTTGTATGGAAGATTAATTAATTTGACCACTTCAAATTTCTTAAGTTGTGTATGCTAAAAGACAAAACTGGAGGACAAATGATAGTACTGGCAGATATCACTTATTCACAAATCACACAAATTAAGAGTACAGGAAGGCTGTTGGGTCCGGTGGCTCACAGCTGTAATCCCAGCACTTTGGGAGGCCAAGGTGGGTGCATCACCTGAGGTCAGGAGTTCAAGACCAGCCTGACCAACATGGTAAAATCCCATCTCTACTAAAAACAGAAAAATTAGCCAGGCGTGGTAGTGCTAGCTTGTAGTTCCAGCTGTTTGGGATGCTGAGTAGGAGAATTACTTGAACCCTAGAGTCGGAGGCTGCAGTTAGCTGAGATCATGCCACTGCACTCCAGCCTGGGCAACAGAGTGAGAACTCCATGGTGGCATGCACTTTGGGAGGCTGAGGCTGGAGGATTGTCTGAGCCCAGGAATTCAAAGCTGCAGTGAGCTATGATAGAGCCACCGTACTCCAGCCCGGGTGACACAATGAGACCCCATCTCTAAAAATGAATAAAAATAAGGGTCGGGTGAGGGGGCTCATGTTTGTAATCCCAACACTTTGGGAGGCTGAGGCAGAGGGATCACCTGAGGTCAGGAGTTCCAGACCAGCCTGACCAACATGGGGAAACCCTGTCTCTACTAAAAATACAAAAATTATCCGGGCATTGTGGTGTGTGCCTGTAGTCCCAGCTACTCAGGAGGCTGAGGCAGGAGAATCCCTTGAACCCAGGAGGTGGTTGCAGTGAGCCGAGATTGCACCACTGCACTCCGGCCTGGGCGACAGAGAGAAACTGGTCTCAAAATAAATAAATAAATAAATAAAATAAATAGGTAGAGATAGCTATAGCGACACTGAAATATCTCCAAAAGAGTTTTTGTTTGTTTGTTTGTTTGTTTGTTTTTGAAGTGGAGTCTTGCACTGTCACCCAGGCTGGAGTGCAGTGGCGCGATCTCAGCTTACTGCAACCTCTGCCTCCTGGGTTCAAGCGATTCTCTTGCCTCAGCCTCCTGAGTAGCTGGGATTACAGGTGCGTCCCACCACACCCGGCTAATTTTTTTTTTTTTTTTTTTTTTTTTTTAGTAGAGACGGGGTTTCACCACATTAGCCAGGATGATCTCGATCTGACCTTGTGATCCGCCCGCCTCTGCCTCCCAAAGTGCTGGGATTACAGACGTTGGCCATTGCGCCCAGCCCAAGATCCTATTTCTTAAGCCCTGTACTGTGCCAGGCTCAGGGTTTTGCACATGTGATTTGATGAGATCTCACAGCGGCCCATTTTACAGAGAAGGAAATGGAGTCTTAGCAAGCTGTGACTTGTTCTAGGTCATATGGTCACATATAAATGAAT
Source organism: Homo sapiens (assembly GCF_000001405.40). Taxonomy (NCBI): domain Eukaryota; kingdom Metazoa; phylum Chordata; class Mammalia; order Primates; family Hominidae; genus Homo; species Homo sapiens. Next base: position 73,928 of record NW_003571060.1, read on the forward strand.
ACGATGGTGAAACTGAGGTCCTAGCTTAGGCCTCTGCCTCAGAAGTTCCTGGTCTTCAGTACTCACCTATAATGGCCACTAAGGGGAATGAGAAAAGAAGGAAGGAATGGAGGGAGGGAGGAAAATAAGGATATCTGGGATGGGATTGGGCACCAAAATAAAATCTGAGTAATTGGAAAAGGGGTGTCAGCAACAAAAGGAGAGTGGATGGGGTGGCTACTCACCAGACGGAGTGATGTCTGTGTGACACAGAGGCCCTGTAGGAGGTTGAGGGACTAGTTTCTTTTTCCTTTTTTTTTTTTTGTCTGAGGCAGACTCTCACTCTGTCGCCCAGGCTGGAGTGTAGTGGTGTGATCTCAGCTCACTGCAACCTCTGCCTCCCAGGTTCAAGTGATTCTCCTGCCTCAGCCTCCGTAGTAGCTGGGACTACAAGTGCCCGCCACCACACCAGGCTAATCTTTGTATTTTTAGTAGAGAGGGGTTTCGCCATGTTGGTCAGGCTGGTCTTGAACTCCTGTCCTCAGGTGATCCACCCGCCTCGGCCTCCCAAAGTGCTGGGCCTCGGCTCCCACAGGCATGAGCCGCTGCGCCCAACAGCGAGTTCTTTTCAAAACCCTTTGTGGCCAGCCCCATCTCATTGGTAACCCAGGAATCTGAGTTCCCAGCTCCTATCTCCTCTGGGAAATGAGAATCTTATCCCTCCCTCCTCCTGTCTCAGTAGGCAGAAATTTGGACATCCATTGCCCACCTACCGAAGAAGTCTGAACGCAGACCCCTCTGGCCTGGGCAACCAAGAGTTCAGGCCCTTGAACTCCACCTTTCCAGGGAACAATGATCGTAGAGTTTCTCCTCTCACGAGTTCAGGAATCTGGGTCCCCATTTCCCTCTTCTCTCAGGAGCTAAGAGCCCTGTTCCCAGCCCCCTTTTCCCAGGGAATCAGGAGTCCTGGCTTCCATCCCCCTCCCATATAAGAATCTGGGAGTCCTCCCTGTCTCCTGACCTCTTCCTGCCTCAAGAACCAGAGATACCTGTCCCCACCTCCTTCCTCTTTCGGGAATCTGTGTTCTCTTGCTTTAGGACCCAGGGGTCTGGGCCCCAGCCCTGTTCTTTATTTGAACCTAGAATCCCAAACCTGCTGCCTGGTCCCCCTGCAGGGTGTCTGGGTCTCCATTGCCTCTCTCTCTGCCCCCAACCCCAGCCAGGAACCCAGGGAGAAGAAAGGGGTGACTCACAGAGGGTCAGCAGCTGGAGGATCAGCACCAGGGCCATGGTGGGCAGATACCCGCTAGAGCTGGAGCCAGGGCTTGGTCGCACCCTCTCCCCTCCCAGGAAATGAGGCAACATCAGAAAACCAGACCCAGATCCTCATTTACGGAAGAGAGTATCGAGGTGGGGGCCTGTGGGTGACTGTGTCATAGCCCTATGGCACTGTGGAAAAATTAGCAGGGGGTTCAGTCATAACCTGTGGTGTTCATTTATTTAACTCTAGAAACAAATACTAGTCAGGAGGTGGAGGCAGGAGGATCGCTTGAGCCCAAGAGTTCAAGAGCAGCCTGGGCAACAGAGCGAGACCCTGTCTAAAAAATAAATAAATTGTGCCACTGCACTCCAGCCTGGGTGATAGAGTGAGACCATGTCTTTAAATATAGATAGACAGATAGAAAGATATCTGTCTGTTTTAAAAATAAGAACCTATTATGTGCCAGACTCTTGCTGTCATTGATTGACAGATAGATAAAAATTTGCACCTATTATGTGCCAGGCCCTTGCTGTGATTGAAAGATAGATAGATGGATGGATGGATAGATAGATAGATAGATAGATAGATAGATAAAAATTAGCACCTGTTAAGTGCCAGGCCCTTGCTGTGATTGATTGATGGATAGATAAAAATTAACACCAATTATGTGCCAGGCCCTTGCTGTGATTAATTGATCGATTGATAGATTGGTTGACAGAGAAAAATTAGCACCTATTATGTGCCAGGCTCTTGGTGTGATACTGTGTTAGATAGATAGATAGATAGATAGATAGATAGATAGATAGATAAAAATTAGCCCCTCTAGGCCGGGCGCGGTTGTTCACGCCTGTAATCCCAGCACTTTGGGAGGCCAAGGCGGGTGGATCACCTGAGATCGGGAAGTTCGAGACCAGCCTGACCAACATGGAGAAACCCCCGTCTCTCCTAAAAAAGAAAAATTAGCCGGCTGTGGAGGCGCGCGCCTGTAATCCCAGCTATTCAGGAGGCTGAGGCAGGAGAATCGCTTGAACTCGGGAGTCGGAGGTTGCTGTGAGCCGAGATCGCGCCATTGCACTCCAGCCTGGGCGACAGAGCTAGACTCAATCTCAGAAGAAAAAAAAAAAAATTAGAACCTATTACGTGCCAGACCCTCGCTGTGCCATGTTGGCAGGCACAGAGGGAACTCAGACTCCGTTACTGCTCTCAAGCAGCAGCTACCAGTCCGACTGAAAGACCAAGACCAGGTCAGTTTCCTTTTTTTTTGAGACGGAGTCTCGCTCTGTCGCCCAGGCTGGAGTGCAGTGGTGTGATCTCGGCTCACTGCAAGCTCCGCCTCCCGGGTTCACGCCATTCTCCTGCCTTAGCCTCCCCAGTAGCTGGGACTACGGGCGCCCACCACCACGCCCGGCTAATTTGTGTTGTATTTTTAAGTAGAGACAGGGTTTCACCATGTTAGCCAGGATGGTCTAGATCTCCTGACCTCGTGATCCGCCCGCCTCGGCCTCCCAAAGTGCTGGGATTACAGGCGTGAGCCACCGCGCCCGGCCCAGACCAGGTCAGTTTCTTAAGTGATCTGAGCTATAATGGCGGTAACAGAGCACTGTGAGAGCCCGCAGAAAGCTCCTAACCCATCTGGGATGAGACCTAGCGCTTCCAGGACGAGCCGATGTTGAGCTGAGACCTCGAAGGACAGGTTAGTCATTCACCTTCTCCCGGGCTCAGTTTCTTCGTCTGTAAAATGGGCTTTCATACATAAACTATAAAATGGGGACTATTTTGTTCCGCCTTAGGTGGGTCGCAGCAGGAGGACTAGTCACTCCGGAGCGACTTCTAGGCTGAGACTAAGGAGATTCCACGCAGGTCCGCAAAGTCAGGCTTGCGCTTGCTCCTGACACCACTTCCTTTACCTCCACGGCTCCATCTTTGTTCTGCGCGAGTGCGCACGCGCAGGCTCCGAAAGCGGGCCGTCGCACAGAGGGACCACAACTCCCAGAGTGCTCCGCGTCCTTGCTTTCGCCTCTACTTGTGCTCCAGGGCGCACGCGCAGCCCTGGGAGCGGGTTCTCGCGCATAGGGACCACAACTCCCAGGGTGCTCCGCGTCCTCGCCGCTGTCGCCGCCGCGGAGACAAAGATGGCTGCGAGTAAGTGCAGGTTCCGGTGGCGCACGGGGCTCGGGTAGTTCTGGGAACCTCTGGGCGGTCCTGGGACTGAGGTGCGGCAGGGCAGGGGTGGAAGCGATGGGGTCCGTGCTGGAGGGGAACGCAGAAGTCACGAGGGGGCTCCTCCAGGGCAGGGGTGGCACGAGAGGGTTAGAGGTCACCGGGGGCAGCTACTTGCAGGGGTGACGCTTCTTGCCACCCCTTCAGGAGTCGGCGCCTTCCTCAAGAATGCCTGGGACAAGGAGCCAGTGCTGGTCGTGTCCTTCGTCGTCGGGGGCCTCGGTGCGTGAGTGCTCCAGGCGCAAACTTGCATCGTCCACCCCCGTCCCCCTACATCCCTCCATCTTGTACCCCTAAAGCCCTATCGCCGCCCTCGGGTCCCCTCTAGTGTGTCTGCACCCCCACGGCATCCCCTTATCTATCCCCATACCCATTATAACCTCTCCACCATCGCCCCCCGCGTTCCTCTCCACCTACCCAATACGCTCTTAACCCCTCTAAATGAGACGTTCTCAACCCTGCTTATGCCTTAACACCTGAGCACCAAAAAAAAGTCCAGATCCTCCTCCTCCTTTTCATCTTTCCTCTCCCCCATTCTGAATTGAGTTGGCTTGGGTGGAGGTGGGACTGGGGAATCTGTGTCTTGTGAAAATCCCCGTATGATCCCAATGTGCCTTGCTGATTGAAAATCTCTGCCCTCTGCCCTGGAACTGCCCTACTCACACTTTAATTAGCACCGGAGTTCCTGCAGGGATGGGGGCGGGGGATTGTTAAAATGTAGCTTTTTTTTTTGCGATGGAGTCTCACTCTCACCCAGGCTGAAGTGCAGTGGCGCGATCCCGGCTCACTGCAACCTCGGCCTCCTGGGTTCAAGGGATTCTCCTGCCTCAGCCTCCCGAGTAGCTGGGATTACAGGCGCCCAGCTAATTTTTTGTTTTTGTTTTTGAGACTGAGTCTCGCTCTGTCGCCCAGGCTGGAGTGCAGTGGCGCGATCTCGGTTCAGTGCAAGCCCCGCCTTCCGGGTTCACGCCATTCTCCTGCCTCAGCCTCCCGAGTAGCTGGGACTACAGGCGCCCGCCCCCATGCCCGGCTAATTTTTTGTATGTTCAATAGAGACGGGGTTTCACCGTGTTAGCCAGGATGGTCTCGATCTCCTAACCTCGTGATCCTCCCAACTCGGTCTCCCAAAGTGCTGGGATTACAGGCGTGAGCCACCGCGCCCGGCCAGCTTTTTTTTTTTTTTTTTTTTGAGATGGCGTCTCGCTCTGTCTTCCAGGCTACAGTGCAATGGTTTGATCATGGCTCACTGCAACCTCCGCCTCTAGGGTTCAAGTGATTCTCCTGCCTCCGCCTCCCAAGTAGCTGGGATTACAGGCGAGCACCACCACGCCCGGCTAATTTTTGTATTTTTAGTAGAGACAAGGTTTCACCATGTTGGCCAGGCTGGTCTTGAACTCCTGACCGCAAGTGATCTGCCTTCCCAAAGTGCTGGGATTACAGGGGTGAGCCACTGCGCCCGGCCAAACTGTAGGTTCTGATTCTGTAGGTCTGGGGTGGGGCATGGGATTCTGCATTTTTGAAGAGTTCCCAGGTCTTGTCAGTACTGCTGGTCCACCAGCCAGGCACTAGGTTAAGGTTCTGAACACTTATTCAGTATGGCAGCCACCAGCCACAACTGGCCACTGAGCATTTGAAGTGGTGCTGGTATGAATTGAGGTGGTATAAGACACTGGATTTCAAAAACTTAGTATAACAGAGTGTGTAAACTACCAATAATCTTTTGTTGATTACATGGCGAAGTGATGTTTTGGATGTACTATGGTTTTTTTTGTTTGTTTGTTTTTGTTTTTTTGAGACGGAGTTTCGCTTTTGTCCAGGCTAGAGTGCAATGGCCTGATCTCGGCTCACTGCAACCTCCGCCTCCCGGGTTCAAGCGATTCTCCTGTCTCAGCCTCCTTAGTAGCTGGGATTACAGGCGCATGCCACTACACCTGGCTGTTTTTGTATTTTCAGTAGAGACGGGGTTTCATCATATTGGTCAGGCTGGTCTCGAACTCCTGACCTCAGGTGATCCACCCGTCTCAGCCTCCTAAAGTCCTGGGATTATAGGCATGAGCCACCTCGCCCATCCAAGTATGTTTCTTAAAATTTGTTTCATCTGTATCTCTTATTTTTACTGTAGCTACTAGAAGATATAAAATTATATACCTGGCTCTTACCATCTGTCAGACAGCACTGGCCTAGAACATTCCTTTTATGAACTGTACCCCATCCCCCAGGACTCCTGGCTCCCACCCTAAATGGACTGTGGTCAGTGACTGTTGTTTGTGCAACCCTTTCTCCTCCAGTTTGTAAGGCTTTTTTTTTTTTTTTTTTTTGGTGATGGAGTCTCTCTCTGTTGCCCAGGCTGGAGTGCAATGGCACAATCTGGGCTCACTGCAACCTCTGCCTCCCAGGCTCAAGGGATTCTTCTGCCTCAGCCTCCTGAGTAGCTGGGATTACAGGCTCCTGCCACCACGCCCGGCTAATTTTCGTATCTTTAGTAGAGATGGGGTTTCATCATGTTGTCCAGGCTGGTCGCGAACTCCTGACCTCAGGTGATCCGCCCACATTGGCCGCCCAAAGTGCTGGGATTACAGGCTTGAGCCACTGTGCCCGGCCAAATTTGTAACAGTCTTGATTTCTCCAGAACAGTCCCATGACACTACCCCCAGGATGCTCCATGATGACCCTACACTCAAACGTGCTCATTCCATGACCAACCCCACTGCTGCCTCCTCCAGGCCCCACGTATCTGTGAGTGTTAGGCTCCAACCCCTACCTCCACTTAACCCCCCAAAAAAGAGTTTTAAACCCTCCTGTCTATAAGTAGGGATCCCAAGGTACCAAGGATCCTCCTGGACGTGCTGGCCCTCCCTGCTGCCCTCCCCCTGCGCACTTTATCTTCCCTTTGCCAAGGCTCACCTTCTCTTCCCCTCTCTTCAGAGCCACCTTCCCCTGGGCCTCACCCCTGTGTCTCTCCACAGCTGTAATTCTGCCCCCATTGAGCCCCTACTTCAAGTACTCCGTCATGATCAACAAGGCCACGCCCTACAACTACCCAGGTGAGTGGGGGCCAGGCAGGGATCCCCGGAATAGGCCCAGCCTCCCTGTGCTGGCGTAAGGGCAGTTATGGGCAGGTCTTTCCTAAGCAGTTATCAGAGATTCTGCAGTGGTGCCCGGACCCCCCGTTCCATTTTTTAAGAATTGAGATATAATTCGTATACTATTCTGTGTTTGTGCTTCGTTTTTGTTTTTTTGGGTTTTTTTGAGACAGAGTCTCGCTCTGTCGCCAAGGCTGGAGTGCAGTGGCGCGATCTCAGCTCACTGCAAGCTCAGCCTCCCGAGTAGCTGGGACTACAGGTGCCCGCCACCACGACACGCAAACTTTTTCGTATTTTTTTAGTAGAGGCGGGGTTTCACCGTGTTAGCCAGGATTGTCTCGATCTCCTGACCTTGTGATCCACTCACCTCGGCCTCCCAAAGTGCTGGGATTACAGGTGTGAGCCACCGCGCCTGGCCTGTGCTTCGAGTTTCTATTACCTTTCCAGATTTCTGTCTCTCTCTGGGTTCCCATCTGTGGTGGTTTCTTGGTCTCCATCTTCTCAGGTTTCTGTCCTGTTTCCCCATCTCTTTTGACCCTAGCTCTCTAGTGCGCGGGATCTCTCCCTCGCTATCTCTCTGGTTTTCCGTGTCTCTCAGTCTCTGTATTTCCCGCCTCTTTCTGCATCACTGATTCTCTGACCCTTCCCCTCTCACCCCTGGGGTCCCCCTTCCCTCTCTGAACATAAAGCGACAGACCAGCTCTTCTCTCCAGGGCCCTGGAGACGTGCTGGTCTCAGTGGCCCACCTCCTGCCCCACAGTGCCCGTCCGTGATGATGGGAACATGCCCGACGTGCCCAGCCACCCCCAGGACCCTCAGGGCCCCAGCCTGGAGTGGCTGAAGAAACTGTGAGCACCTCCACTGACAGAGGCGGCCCCTCCCACGGCTCCCAATAAAAATGTGAAAACCAACCCCCGAACGTGAGCATGTGTGTGATCAGAGGTGGGAACAAGTAGACGGTGGCCGGGGTGAGTGTGGGGTCAGTTTATTGGGCATGCGTCAGTCAGAGGCTGGGCTGGCCAGGGTCGGGTAGGGCAGCAGTTTGTCTGGACCCCGAGAAACCCAACTGGAATCCAGGGCCTCATCTGCTTCAAAGCCAAAGTCTTCCTCAACCTTAATCTGCAGGAGATAAGGAACAAGGTGTTAACAGGCCTGGGAATCTAGAAAATCCCATCAGCTTCACCATTTTTGTTTTCATTTTGTTTTGCTTTTTAAAGAGACAGGGTCTCACTCTGTTGCCCAGGCTGGAGTGCAGTGGTGCCATCATAGTTCACTGCAGCCTCTGCCTCCCAGGCTCAAGTGATCCTCCCACCTCAGCTTCCCAAGTAGCTGGGACTACAGGCACTTGCCAACCAAGCCTAACATGTTTTTTCTTTTTGGTAGAGATGGGGTCTCAGTATGTTGCTCAGGCAGGTCTCAGACTCCTGGCCTCAAGTGATCCTCCCACCTAGGCCTCCCAAAGTGCCGGGATTACAGGCATGAGCCACTGCACCTGGCCAGCCTCACAGTTCTTGTCTGCCCAGGCCAGTCACCTTCCTCCTTACACCTCAGAGGCAATCCCAGTGTTCCTGGGTCCAGATGTTCTTCCAGCTTTCCTCCCCACACTGGGCCTTCCCTTCCACTCCGTCTTCTCTGATCCTTCCTTCTCCTCTACTCCCAGCCTTCTCTAGCTATTTTTCCTTCTCCAGGTCTTCCTCTTTCCCTTTCCAACTTTGCCTCCTTTTTACCCAAGCCTTTACCCCACTTTTTCCAACTACTTCCCTGCCTGATCCTAGGCCTCCAACATGTCCTGGTTCACCTCCCTTCTCCAACTTTCCCCAGCCCTGGGCCCCTCGGGGTGCAGAACCAAAACCCAAGAGCCCTGAACCTAACTCAGCCCCAGCCCTGGCCCCTCCCCTTGAGTCCCCCCTCCTTACCTGCACTGGCGCCGGCTCTGGAGCCCCAGTCCCTCCCCTTGAGTTCCCGCCTTCCTCACCTGCACCGGGGCCAGCTCTGGAGTCAGCGCATTTCCTGCTCGGCGTCCATCCCGTGGCACTCGCCGCCTCTTCCGCCCACTGGGCCCCTCACCGGGGGCTGGGCTGCCGGGTTCTGGGGGTGCAGGAGTCCTTCTGGGCGGGGACAGTGTCTCTTTCTCTGGAGGCTCATTCTCCGCATTGCCTGGGGTGGGGGCATCCGTGCCCTGGCTGCCCTCATCCTGGCAGGCAGGAGGGGGAGGTAGGTGATGGGTGGGTCCTGAGCTCCCAGTTCCTGACCCTCCTGGAGGCCCAACACTCACCTCCAGCACAATGGTGAACTGGCTGGCCCGGTAGTCATCCCCGTAGGAGTCCAGCACTCTCATGAGGAACCTGCTCAGGGGGAGAAGCCACCAACGGAATAACTTATCTCCTAGCGGCTGGGGAAAAGGGCCACAGGATAGAGCTCAGCTCCCACTCCACTCAACGCCAAAGCTGTCCTGGAGCCAGACGGTCCTGAGCTCTGGCACTGGAGGCCTGGGAGCCATGCCCTTGACCAGCCTTGAGACCTCGAGCAAGACAAGGCAACCATTCTGAGGCTGAGTTTCCTGCTCTGCAAACGACATGACACCCTCGGCTGGATGTTGCAGCGGTGACACTGAAGTAGTGACACCAGACGATTTCTGTACTTAATGTGATGTCAGCACTTAGTAAACATTCATATGTGAGTTATAATTTTTATTGATAACTGAAGAGAGGGGAGTACAGAACGCTCCTCCTAATGACCTCACCTCTTATAAACACCCCCTTCTCTTTTTTCCCCAGCCCCTGCCTCCAGAGTTCCTTAAGGTTCAATTGATGGAATGCCTCCTCTGCACCAGCACCTGGGCAGGTTTGTTGTTGTTGTTTTGCGACGGAATCTCACTCTGTCACCCAGGCTGGAGTGCAGTGGCGTGAATTTGGCTCACCACAACCTCCACCTCCCTGGTACCAGCGATTCTCCTGCCTCAGCCTCCCGAGTAGCTGGGACTACAGGCGCCTGCCACTACACCCGGCTAATTTTTTTGTATTTTTAGTAGAGACGGAGTTTCACCGTGTTAGCCAGGATGGTCCCGATCTCCTGACCTCGTGATCCGCCTGCCTCGGCCTCCCAAAGTGCTGGGATTACAGGCATGATGAGCCACTGCGCCCGGCCTATTTCAACTTAAGTGAAAATCTCACCTGTGGCCAGCGGCTACCGTGCTGGACAGCACAGGTACGGACAGAGGAACCCTGGGAGCCGCAGGTTTCAGCTTTGGGGAGGGAGGATGAACTAGCAAAGGCAGCCAAGAAGGAACAGCCGGAAAGGCAGGAGACCCCAGGTTGCTGGGTGCCCAGGATGGCAAGAATGGGCTCCAGGGAAGAGCACATAGCCCTGGGCCACTGTGCCGAGCCTGAGCCAAGGACTGAGATGAGAACTGTGGTTGACTCAGCAACGTGGAGCCATTCCTACAAAACTTGCTCCAGTTTTGCTGGTACAGGGACACTGCGAGTGGCAGGGGCAGCAGCCACCTGGGCAGGTTCTGTGGAGACACACAGTGGGAAGCTCTGAGCTCAGCTCACCACCTGCAAGCTCCGACAACCCTGCCGCAGCCTCATGATATTGGTGCTGCCCTTAGTTGATAGGAAACAGCTCAGAGAAGGGACACTGCTTGCTTAGAGTCACACAGCAAAAAAAAAAGAAAATACTTGCAGTCAGGTCTGTGCTCGTGTGCCTTCCATCCTGCTGTTCCCTCCCTTCAGGGGGAGGAGGCCCTCCACCCGGCCCTCCCTCAGTCCCAGTGCTCAGCCCTCTCCACCCGGCCCTCCCTCAGTCCCAGCGCACAGCCCCTTCCACCCGGCCCTCCCTCAGTCCCAGTGCTCAGCCCTCTCCACCCGGCCCTCCCTCAGTCCCAGTGCTCAGCCCTCTCCTCCAACACCGAATCCCACTCTTCCTCCTTGTTTGCCTCAGCCCCCGGCCCTCATCTCCGGCTTCTCCTTGTGGCTTGTGAGGGTTGGGTGGATGTGGAAGTGGGAGAGACAGAGGGGCTGGGAGCATTTGGGAGCTGAGGCTCACAGGCCCAGAGGGGACGGAGAAGGGGTTACCTCCGTTCCTGCTGCAGCCTCCGAGTTATCCTCTGCACCTGATGGAGCCTGTTCAGGACCCGCTCGTTCACCTATGGGGTGGGAAACGCCCATCAGCTGGATCCCACGGCTCCCGTTCATTTGTTTAACGGATGTTTAATGGGGCACGCACTAAACTCTGGAGACTGGCCAAAGACCATCCCGTGGCCTGAGGTCCTTCCACCTTCCCATCCCTCCGGCTCCCCTCTCACCATGCCACAGTCCTGAGTGCCCTCCAGTGGGGGCCTTCCGCGTGCTGTTCCTCTACCTGGACCCTCTCCCCAGTCATCCGCACAACTTACTCCCCACTCCAAGTCTTAGGTCAACTGTTACCTGCTCAGAGAGCCTGAACCTCCCATTAAGTCGAAACACACCAGGCCAGGTGCGGTGGCTCACGCCTGTAATCCCAGCACTTTGGGAGGCCGAGGCGAGTAGGTCCCCTGAGGTCAGGAGTTCGAGACCAGCCTGGCCAACATGATGAAACCCCATCTCTACTAAAAATACAAAAAATTAGCTGGGCGTGGTGGCAGGTGCCTGCAGGATAGTCGCACGAACCTGGGAGGTGGAGGGGTGAAGTGAGTTGAGATCACCCCACTGCACTCCAGCCTGGGCAACAGAGCGAGGTTCTGTTTCAAAAAAAAAAATTGCAACACACCCGACCCCCCTTCCCATGCCAGAACCCCACCCGGCCATTCACTCCTGGCTTTATTTCCTCCTAGTGCTCATCTGAGGAGGCAGGACGCAGCCTCTCCGCCTCTTTGCTTATTCTGCTGACTGACCGCCTCTCCAGCCAGAGCATGAGCTGAAAAACGACAGCAACTTGTTTCTACATCCCGTGCCTTAACCAGAGCCTGGCACGTAGTACATCCTCCATGAACATTTGCAGAATCAATGACTTTGCAAAGTGAGAAGTGCTTGGTGAATACCAAAGAGTCAGACATGCTGGAGGTTAGGGCAGGAGGTGCGACTTTAGTTACGACCTGCAGAGAAGGCCCGTGGGCCCAGACTTGAATAAGGAGGAGACAAAGGGGTGACAGGAGGAAAGTATGCCAGGCTGAGGGGACAGCCCTGCACGCAGCTTCTGAGGACTCCAGCCTAGACATGGAGGGAGAGATGTGACTCAGCCAAACAGGGACCCAAAGACAGTGGCTGAAGCAGGTGCTGCTCCTGGGTCAGAAAGACCTGAGTTCCGGGCGGGGCACAGTGGCTCACGCCTGTAATCCCAGCACTTTGGGAGGCCGGGGCGGGCAGATCACTTGAGGTCAGGAGTTCAAGACCAGCCTGGCCAACATGGTGAAACCCCGTCTCTACTAAAGATACAAAAATTGGCCGGATGTTGTGGCACATGCCTGTAATCTCAGCTACTCAAGAGTTTGAGGTCGGGAGTTCCAGACCAGCCCGGCCAACATGATGAGACCTCATCTCTACTAAAAAAAAAAAAAAAAAAAGAAAAATACAAAAATTAGCTGGGTATGGTGGCGCATGCCTGTAATCCCAGTTTCTCAGGAGGCTGAGGCAGGAGAATCGCTTGAACCCAGGAGCTGGAGGTTGCAGTGAGCCGAGATCACACCACTGCCCTCCAGCCTGGGTGACAGAGTAAGACTCTGTCTCAAAAGAAAAAAAAAAAAAAAAGTGCCAGGCACGGTGGCTCACGCTTGTAATCCCAGCACTTTCAGAGGCCAAGGCGAGCGGATCACCTGAGGTCAGGAGTTTGAGACCAGCCTAACGTGGTGAAACCCTGTCTCTACTAAAAATACAAAATTAGCCAGGTGTAGTGGCGCATGCCTGTAATCCCAGCTACTCGGGAGGCTGAGGCAGGAGAATCGCTTGAACCCAGGAGGCGGAGGTTGCAGTGAGCTGAGATTGCAGCATTGCACTCCAGCCTGGACAACAAGAGCGAAAATCCATCTAAAAAAAAAGAGTTCAAGTTTTGGCTCTGGCTTGGCACAGTGGCTCATGCCTATAATCCCAGCACTTTGAGAGGCCAGGAGTTCGACACCAGCCTGGGCAACAGAGTGAGACCCCAACACTCAAAAACTAACCAAAAAAATTAGCTGGGCTTGGTGGCTGTAGTCCCAGCTCCTTCGGAGGCTGAGATTGCTAGAGTCCAGGATGTTGGGGCTGCAGTGAGCCACAGTCATGCCACTGCACTCCAGCCTGGGCAACAGAGAAAGACCCTGTCTCAAAAAAAAAAAAAAATCTCAGATCTGCCACTGCTGAGCTCTGAGCTTGGGTGCATTACTTAACCTCTCTGAGCCTTGATTTTCTATACTTGTAAAATAGTAGTAATCTATTCCTGGGGGTGGATTAATGGCAGAGGCTCCAGTTGAGTCCGTTTGGGCCTTGGTGTCTGTCTGTTAAACAGGGTTTGGAATATGCCCCTGGCCTCTAGCCTTCCTCCTTACAGAACTCCCCAATACTGTCATTAAGAATTGAGGCCAGATGTGGTGGCTCATGCCTGTAATCCTAGCATTTTGGGAGGTCAAGGCGAGTGGATCACTTGAGGTCAGGAGTTCAAGACCAGCCTGGGCAACATGGCAAAACCCCATCTCTACAAAAAGTACAAAAATTAGCCAGGTGTGGTGGTGTGTGCCTGTAGTCCCAGCTATTTTGGGGGCTGAGGCAGGAGGACTGCTTGAACCTGGGAGACTGAGGCTGCAATGAGCTGAGATTGCGCCACTGCACTCCAGCTTTGGTGACAAAGTGAGAACCTGTCTCAAGAAAGAGAAAAAGAGTTGAAGGCCAGGCGTGGTGGCTCAAGCCTGTAATCCCAGCACCTTGGGAGGCTGAGGTGGGCAGATCACCTGAGGTCAGGAGTTTGAGACCAGCCTGACCAACATGGTGAAACCCTGTCTCTACTAAAAATAGAAAAATTAGCTGGGTGTGGTGGCGGGCGCCTGTAATCCCAGCTACTAGGGAGGCTGAGTCAGGAGAATCACTTGAACCCAGGAGGTGGAGGTTACAGTGAGCTGAGATGGTGCCATTGCACTCCAGCCTGGGAGACAAGAGCGAGACTCCACCTCAAAAAAAAAAAAAAAAAAAAAAAAAAAGTTGAATTATTTCCCCCAAAAGAGGGTGTTGAGGCTTTAACCCCCAGTACCTCAGGATCACCTTATATGGAGACAGTGTCGTTACAAAAGTAATCAAGTTCAAATGAAGCCAGTGGGTGGGCCCTAATCCAGTATGACTGGAGTCCTTATAAAAAGGGTAAATTGGGACACAGACACACACACAGGGAGCAGCAATGTGAAGATGAAGGCGGAGATCAGGGTGATGTTTGTACGTGCCAATGACTGCCAGAAACCTCCAGAAGCCAGGGGAGAGGCCTGGAAGATTCTCACAACCCTGTCGACACCTTGCCTTGGATGTCTAGCCTCCAGAACTGTCAGACAGGAATTTCTGTGCTTGAGGGACCCTATTTGTGATAAGTTCTGGGAGTCCAAGCAGACTAATACAACTGTCTTCAGAGTTTCAGGCATCCAGACCTGATGCTGTTCCTCCCCCATTTGAAACCCTTCAGTGGCTCCTTCACTCTCAAGGAAAAAAAAATATCCAGACTTCTTGTCCTGGTGTTCCTGGCCTGCCAAGATCTGAGCCCTGCCTGCTGTTTAATCCTCATTGATTGATTGATTGATTTTGAGACGGAGTCTCACTCTGTCACCCAGGCTGGAGTACAGCAGCATGATCTTGGCTCACTGCAACCTCCGCCTTCCGGGTTCAAGCAATTCTCATGCCTCAGCCTCCCTAGTAGCTGCGACTACAGGTGCGCACCACCACACCTGGCTAATTTTTTTGTATTTTAGTAGAGATGGGGTTTCACCATGTTGGCCAGGCTGGTCTCGAACTCCTAACCTCAGGTGATCCGCCTGCCTCAGCCTCCCAGTGCTAGGATTACAAGCGTGAGCCACCATGCCCAGCCCATCCTTATTCTCAGCAAGGAGGCTATTGCAGTCATTCAGCCCAGACAGCTGGAGTTTGCAATGGCAGCCATAGGGATGGAGGAGAGGAGAAGGGTCCAGAGACACTCAAGAGGCGGAATGAATGAGTCGAGAGGAGTGAATCCTGGCAGGGGTATGGGAGATGTGAAGAGCTTGGGCTTTCACCTGTGAGCGGTGCCACGCATTGAGAGGCCCCCGGGAGACATCAGAGAACCCATCTGCGTTGTCAGGGAAGCTCCACGGGAGATGGCCCTTCCAGGGGCCCGGCACAGGGCCAGACACATAATGCATGCTAAATGACTGAATATATAAGCTAAATGACTGAATATATCAGCAAGCCAAGAAAGGCTGGGCATGTGGAAAGGCAGAGATTGCGGGGGGCGGTAGTTTAGGCCAGGGGACCCCAAAACCGGGGGATCCGCACTCACCTACCTGCTCGATCTCCCGGCAGCGCCGACCTAGTGCCTGGTACTTTCTGCGATTTAATTCCCGCTGGCGCCGCCGCCGACCCCGGGCTGCCTCTTCCTCTTCATCTCGCTCCCGGAGCCCTGAGCCGCCCAGACCACCTGACACAAACTCCACTTCCGTCTCCAGCTCGCTCTCCAGGATGTGGCCACCAAATAGGGGAGGCAACGCCAACTCTGAGCCTGGCGGCGCTGAGAACTCCTCAAAGCCCACGGCTGCCATGGTCCTGAGAGGCAGGGAAAGGCTCAGGGGCCCTGGATCCTGGACCCCCAGCCCCTTCTCCCACTGAACCAGGAGCCCAGACCCCAACCCCTCCTCCCTGAGATCCTAGAATCCAGGCCCCCAGCCCCTCCTCCCTCAGACCGTAGAATCCAGCTCCCAGCCCTCCTCCCTCAGACCCAGAAGTCCAAGTCCGCAACCCACCCTTCGCAGCACCCACAGGGTTCAAGCCCTGACCCCCTCCTCCCAGGATGCAAGAGTCCAGACCTCCAGACTTTTTCTCTCCAAGGACCCAGGGAGTCCAAGCCCCAACCCTCAACCAGACGCAAGAGTCCTGGCTTCCAACCTCCTAGTCTGTCAGATCCAGCAGTCCAAACCCCTAACCTTCTCCTCCCTCAGGATGACCCCAGTCCATAAAAGGGTTCTAAGGTAAAGCAGTTGCATGAACTACAACCCCCATCAGACCTCAGCGTAAAAGCTCATATGGTTGCACACAATGCAGCTGCACTGTTTTCTGGGATTCGCACTTTTTCACAAGGGCTCAGCCACATACCCTTCTCTCTGCTCCAATTCCATCTCCGCGACCTCCGGAAGCCCCGGGCCTCAGAGCTTCCGACCTCTTCAATCTGTAGGTTAAGCCGTTCGCAAAACTACTTGTCCCATCAGGCTCAGCAGCCGAGGACGGCGGGACGTGGCCCTAGGCCTTGTGGGAGTTGTAGTTTCCTGTTTCCGGCTTCGCTTCGGCCCACCCCCACGTCCACCCCGAATCCCTGCTTAAAGGCCTTGCTTTCTTGTCTAACGCCGCAACCAGTCCTCTGAGTTGCCAACGTCTTTCTTCTTGTCTCGACGCCCCGTCGTCCGGCCACAGCGATTCTCTGCTTAGCAGGATCGGTCCACAGCGGGACGTGAGTCCCTTTCCTCCTCGCGGCTTACCGCCTCTCTCCGCCTAGTGCCAGGTGCTAATAAAGTTGTTGTTTCAAATGCGGCCAGGAACATCGCGAGCGGGGACCAATCAGAGAGTAGCTTTGCCTCTATAACGGCGCGAGAGTGAGACGTCATCGGTGAGCGACTAACGCTAGAAACAGTGGTGCGCGGAGAGGAGAGGTGAGTGTGATGGAGACCACGGGGAGCGGGAGGCTGGGCTCCTGGGTCTGGGAGAAGAAGTGTGTGAGGAAAAAGGCGGGTCTTTACAGCTTGGTTTTTGTTTTTTTGTTGTTTGTTTGTTTTGAGACGGAGTCTCGTTCTGTTGCCCAGGTTGGAGAGCAGTGGCGCGATCTCGGCTCATTGCAACCTCCGTCTCCCGGGTTCAAACGATTCTTCTGCCTCAGCCTCCAGAGTAGCTGGGATTACAGGCGCCCGCCACCACCCCTGACTAATTTTTGTATTTTTAGTAGAGACGGGGTTTCCCCATGTTGGTCAGGCTGGTCTCGAACTCCTGATCTCGTGATCCGCCCGCCTCGGCCTCCCAAAGTGCTGTGATTACAGGCATGATCCACCGCGCCTGGCCAGTTGTTTGTTTGTTTTGTCTGAGACGGAGTTTCGCTCTTGTTGCCCAGGCTGGAGTGCAGTGGCGCGATCTCGGTTCACTGCAACCTCCGCCTCCCGGATTCAAGCGATTCTCCTGCCTCAGCCTCCCGAGTAGCTGGGATTACAGGCGCGCACCACCACGCCCGGCTAGTTTTTTGTATTTTTAGTAGAGACGGGGTTTCACTATGTTGGCCAGGCTGGTCTCCAACTCCTGACCTCAGATGATCCACCCGCCTGGGCCTCCCAAAGTGCTGGGATTACAGGCATGAGCCACCGCTCCCGGCCTTTTACAGCCTGTTTACCCAAAAGTCTTAATATGCGCCTACCATGGTGTGGCCCTGGGGATGTGGAAGGAGCAAAAATTGTTCGCTACCCTCTTAGAGCTTTGGTTGATGCCTGGCAGACAGGCTTTATCAAATAATTACTTCATTAATCACAAATGTGTGAAGTGCCTTACTGTAGACACGCAGAGCGTGCGGGACACGTTATCACAAAGCAACCTCCTGTAGTCTAGAGTGGGGCGTGTGGGTCAGGGAGGTGGAACGTGAGAGCTGAAGGCTGAGGAGATGCTGGGCTACTAAGAAGTGAGGAGAGCCAGACGCCATGGCTCACTCCTGTAATCCCAGCACTTTGGGTGGCCCAGGCGAAAGGATCGCTTGAGCCCAGGAGTTTGAGACCAGCCTGAGCAACACAGTGAGACCCTGTCTCTACAGAAAAATTTAAAAATTAGCCGGGCGTGCTGGTGCGTGCCTGTCATCTCAGCTATCGGGAGGCTGAGGCGGGAGAATCGCTTGAGCCCAGGTGATCGAGGCTGCCGTGAGCTATGATGGCGCCACTGCACTGCAGCCTAGGTGACAGAGCAAGACATGGTCTCAAAAAAAAGAAAAGAAAAGAAAAAACAAAGTGAAGGAAAGGGCCACTTTAGTTACAAGGGACTCCTGTACAAAGACCTGGAGGCGGGAAGAGACCGATAATGTAACCAACTCAAGTTTCTGCTACTCAGAGGCAGAGGAAGTGGGGGGTGGTGAAAGTAAAGCAGCTTTACTGATCAAATGCTCGCAGATGAGAAATGGCCAAGCTAATGTCTTTAGAAGACCATTTCAAGCTTTAGGCTGGGGAGAGGGGCTTAAAAAGGGGAACTTTGAATGGGAGGCATACAGGAGTGGTGCTGGGTACAAGGTATGTGTGTCTTGCTCCGAAGGCTGTCTTGAGTCACGGGCCACCTGGAGCATGGGCTGGTGTCAAGTCAACAATGGCCACGTTGTAGATTGATCGCCTTGAGGTGATCTCTGGAGTTTTGCAGCTGGGTTTCCATACCTAGTTTGTTTCAAGATTAGCCCCTGCGGCGAGGCGCGGTGGCTTACGCCTGTAATCCCAACAGTTTGGGAGGCCAAGGTGGGTCGCTCACTTGAGGTCAAGAGTTCAAGACCAGCCTGGCTTACATAGTGAAACCTTGACTCTACAAAAAAAAAAAAAAAAAATTAGCTGGGCATGGTGGCAGGTGCCTGTAGTCCCAGCTACTCAGGAGGCTGAGGCAGGAGAATCGCTTGAACCCAGGAGGTGGAGGTTGCAAGTGAGCCAAGACTGCGCCACTGCACTCCAACCTGGGTGTCAGAGCCAGACTCCATCTTTAAAAAATAAATAAATAAAGATTAGCCCCTGGAACTTCTAAGTAAGCACATAGATAAGCCAGCAGTGCAAGACAGTATCTAGTGGGAAAGGAGGGAAACAAAGAATTTCAAAGTATGTTTTCAAGGCTAAAGGCAAGAAAGGAATAAGAAAGTTTGCAAATGCATTTGGAATCTACACCACTTGGTTCCAGTAAGTCTTAGCAAGGTGGCGGTCATAGGGGTGTGCTGCGTCTTGCACAGGTCGGAGCTGGAGACTCGCCAGTGAACAAAACAAACTAAAGCACCTGTTGTCGTGGAGCCTGCATGCTAGTGGGGTTGATAAAGAAGGACCAGGGTCTTCTGGGGGAGAATCATCGCTCAGTAATAAGGAGGGACTTTGTCGGGGCAAGTTTTTAGGGAACGCTGCTGTCCCTCCCCAGGCCTCGGGATGTCTCTGGCAGATGAGCTCTTAGCTGATCTCGAAGAGGCAGCAGAAGAGGAGGAAGGAGGAAGCTATGGGGAGGAAGAAGAGGAGCCAGCGATCGAGGATGTGCAGGAGGAGACACAGCTGGATCTTTCCGGGGATTCAGTCAAGACCATCGCCAAGCTATGGGATAGTAAGATGGTAAGAGGACAAGAGGTGTTCCTAGCAGGGGGCTCTAGACAGAATCTCCCAGAAGGGGGTGATACAGGCTTCTTTTTGAAGAGTGCTGGATTCTGACTGTCTTCTCCTTTCCTACAGTTTGCTGAGATTATGATGAAGATTGAGGAGTATATCAGCAAGCAAGCCAAAGCTTCAGAAGGTGCTTCCTCCCACTCTGTGCCCCTCCCCATCTCCTGTCTCTCCTGCCAGGCCCCCTGGCTCCCTGGCTGCTTGTGGCTGGGTATATCTCCTTCTCAGCCTTTTCCAGAGCCTTCTTTTTTTTTTGTTTCACCCCAACCCGTTCCCTTTTCCACTAAATATATATTGCATTGTAAAGCTCATGCTTCTTAAGTCCTTCCTGTGTGCTGAGCTTACTGATCATGATAGGACTCAGCTTGAGGTTTCCCAGACTTCACTGATTCACATGACCGGTTACAGGGTTTTTGCCACATCTATAAGCCGCTTATCCTATTATTTGCTTAACATATTCTTTGAGTCTAGGACTTTTTTTCTTAAATTTATCTGAGAAGGAAGCAAATTGCTACCATGAATGGAAAACTGGTATCATTTGGCAAAGACAAAGTCACTGTATAAAAATAGATATATAATTATTTAGGAACCACCTAAGGCCGGGCGCCGTGGCTCACGCCTGTAATCCCAGCACTTTGGGAGGCGGAGGCAGGTGGATCATGAGTTCAGGAGATCGAGACCATCCTGGCTAACACGGTGACACCCCGTCTCTACTAAAAATACAAAAAATTAGCCAGGCGTGGTGGCGGGTGCCTGTAGTCCCAGCTACTCAGGAGGCTGAGGCGGGAGAATGGCGTGAACCTGGGAGGCGGAGCTTGCAGTGAGCCGAGATCGTGCCACTGCACTCCAGCCTGGGCGACAGAGCAAGACTCCGTCTCAAAAAAAAAAAAAATAACCTAAAACCTTTTCTCATGCCCAAATTGAGAGAACACTAGCTTATCTCATGAGTGCTCAGACTCACTCTTAAGAGGGCAGTCCTGTTACCATTCCTATTCTTTTTTTTTTTTCCTTGAGATAGAGTCTCCCTCTGTCGCCCAGGCTGGAGTGCAGTGATGTGTTCTTGGCTCATTGCAACCTCCACCTCCCGGGTTCAAGCGATTCTCCTCCCTCAGCCTTATGTATAGCTGGGATTACAGGTATGCAACACCATGCCTGGCTATTTTGTATTTTTTAGTAGAGATGGGGTTTCACCATGTTGACCAGGCTAGTCTCGAACTCCTGACCTCAAGTAATCCGCCCACCTCGGCCTCCCAAAGTGCTGGGATTACAGGCATGAGCCACTACGCCCAGCCTTCCCATTCTTCTTGAATGGAATTTGTTGATGACAGGAAGCCATAGGAGGTTTCTGGGGAAAGAAGTGTAGTGAGAGGGCAGAGTTTCGGGAGACTCACTGCTTGCTTTCTTTAACGTTTACCTGGGCACCCAGTTGAATCGCCCAGGTCTTTGCTCTCAAAGTACTCAAGGTCTAGTGGAAGAGGCAGGCCAGGTTCCAGACAGCTATCAGTGGTGGTACCAAGCTGGGGACACCGGAGCCACAGGAGGGACTGGCTGACCCTGCCCCAGGTGTCAGGAAGAATCGATAGCTGAATTGGACTGTAGAGCATGAATGCATGTGCCAGGCAAAGAAAGGGAGAAGGGGGCCCAGGGAAAGACAGCGGCAGGCCCGGGGCCTCAGATATCCGGAGAGAGAATCCTGCAGAGTTCCAGATGCCAGGCCAAGGAATTTCTCCCTCCAGAGGGTTATGGGACACAGAAAGTGACATTTCCTGATGTCAGGCCAGGCTCAGGGATGGAGTCAGACCCCGTCACACCCGGTGTCTGGTTGAGGAGGCAGAGGTGAAACATCTCACAAGCTGTGGCAGTCCCTGTTTACTGGAGGTGCACAAGTGCTGCGGGTACACAGAGGAGGCGTCTGATCCTTCCAGAAAGGGAGGGAAGGATTCTGAGTCGCTGCCTGAGTCTTAAGGACTTAAAGAGCCATTTGAGCATCAGGGTTAGGAGTGCAGACTCTGACGCCGCCCTGCCTGGTGTCAGATCTGAGCTCTGCCTTCTACTGGCTGTGACATCAGGCAGTTAGTATTTGCATGACTTTTAAACACAACATCTTTTTGTTTGTTTGTTTTTTGAGACAGGGTCTCACTCTGTCACCCAGGCCAGAATGCAGTGGCACGATCCCAGCTCACTGCAGCCTTGACCTTGTGGGCTCAGGCGTTCCTGCCTCAGCCTCCCAGGCAGCTGGGACCACAGGTGTACACCACCATGCCTGGCTAATTTTTTTTCTTTAATTATGTGTAGAGATGGGGTCTCCCTATGTCGCCCAGGTTGCTCTCCAACTCCTGGGCTCAAGCAGTTCTCCTGCCTCAGCCTCCCAAAGTGCTGGGATTACAGGTATGAGCCACTGTGCCTGACCTCTTATTACTAAAGCACAAAGAAGCGTTTTCCAGAAACAGACGTGGGGTAAGGGATGCTCTGGGGAGAGGGAGCAGCACATGCAGAGGCCAGGAGGGGTCTGGCGCGGTGGCTCACGCCTGTCATCCCAGCACTTTGGGTGGTCAAGGCAGATGGATCACCTGAGGTCGGGAGTTCGAGACCAGCCTGCCCAACATGGTGAAACCCCGTCTCTACTAAAAATACAAACAAACAAAAAAAATTAGCCGGGCGTGGTGGCACATGCCTGTAATCCCAGCTACTCAGGAGGCTGAGGCAGGAGAATCGCTTGAACCCAGGAGGCGGAGGTTGCAGTGAGCTGAGATCATGCCACTATACTCTAGCCTGGGCAACCAGAGCGAAATTATGTCTCAAAAAAAAAAAAAAAGGCTAGGAGGAGTGGGTGTCTGGGGCACTGTGATCACTCCTTTATGGCTGGAGTGGAATAAAATGAGGTGTGGTGAGAGGATGGGGCGGGAAGGGCGGGAGGCCAGACTGCAGAGCTGCTGAGTCAGCAAACAGGAACGGGGGAACTCCCTGTGTGCCAGGTGCTGTCCTGGGTACTCGGCTGTGGGTACAGCCAACGCAGGCACAGCACTGGTCCCTGCAGAGCTTCCGGAGTTGGGGAGGCCCTGAATGTCAGTCTGAGGACTCGGTCATTAGCCTTGGGGCTGTGGGGAGCCGTAGGAGGTTTCACACGGTCAGTTCTGGGGTAGATGGGGTCAAGTCTAGACTGGTGTGGAGGGAGAGGGATTGAAGGCAGGAACACAAGTTCAGGGATGTCTGCAGACATCAGCCTGTCCCTGGTTTACTCTTCAGCCCCTCCTTCCTGACCCCTCCCAACTTCATCCTCCGCCTCCTCCAGCTGCGGGACCCGAGAGGGGGTAGGGATTTAGATACTCACACCCATGCCTCCGTGTCCTCACAGTGATGGGACCAGTGGAGGCCGCGCCTGAATACCGCGTCATCGTGGATGCCAACAACCTGACCGTGGAGATCGAAAACGAGCTGAGTGAGTGCTGGGGGGCAGGCGGAGACAGCCCCGTGTGACGTCCCTCACGCCCCCTCTCCCTTCCCCACTGGCCTTTCCCAGGGTCCTGCCCCTAAGCCCAAGCTCAGATCGAGGTTGACCTGCTGTCACAGAGTGGCTGAAATAAGAAGGAAGTGCGTTCTCTCGCGTATGAGTCTGAGGAGCACTCGGGGATGGTGTGGCCGCTTGGCTGCCTGTAGGGCCCCGGCTCTTTCCATCCTGTTGGTCGGCCACCTGCCTCACGGTGCGAGGTGACTGCCCCACCTCCAGCCATCACCTCCGCATTCCCACCAGCAAGGCGCTTCTTTTCTTTAAGAACATGTCACTGCAGCTCACGTTTTACAGACCAGAACTAATTCCCCTGGTCACACCTAGCGGTAAGGACGGCTGAGAAAGGCTGTATGCTGGTGCCCGTGTGCCAGGCCACAAGCCAGGGCTTCAGTTACTAAAGGAAGAAGGGGACATGGGTGTTAGGGCCAACCAGCAGAGTCTACCTTCCATCTCACCCGACAACCTCCTGTCCCGTTTACCCTAGACATCATCCATAAGTTCATCCGGGATAAGTACTCAAAGAGATTCCCTGAACTGGAGTCCTTGGTCCCCAATGCACTGGATTACATCCGCACGGTCAAGGTGAGCGCAGAGAAGGTGGGGTGCTTCTGCTGGCGTGAAGGGGCAGGCGGGGCTCACTCTCGGACCCCCTCCCAGAGGCCTCAGGGTCTGGAGACGATGGAGAGGAGTGGACGAGGGCTCAGTGGTCTGCTCTGCCCAGCGTGGGAGGGACGGAGCCTGGACAGGACTTTCTCAGGGCTCCCCTCCAACCCCAGTCTCCCGAGAGGGCTTCCCCGCTGGCCTGACCCACGCTGCTCCCGCTGTGGTTGGAGCCGGTGGCATTGGAGTTGACATCCGAAGGTTGACACAGGGCAGGCACACGGAGATTTGGGGCAGAGAGACGTCTAAGTGCAGAGAGCTGGAGAGGGAACAAGTGGGGAGGAAGTGAGGCGGGGAAGGAGGGGACGGGGAAGAGGTCGGATCACGTCCAGCCTTTGGGTCTTAGGAGAAAGCCAAGGAAGGGTTTCGGAAAAGAGGGGCAGGTGTGCGTGAGGGCGGGGAGAGGAGGAGGTCCCCACGCATGTCCAGGAAAGGATTAGGATGGCGGTGGGGAAGCCCCTGCAGGGAAGCGAGGCCGCGGATTTGCACTCCGACTTGACGCAGGCCAGAGGCTTGTGAGGCCACAGTCTTTCCAGACGCCACTCTGCCCGGGCTCCGTTTCCAGGTCAGCGAAAGCAGGGCAGATGGTGTGGATGCTTGACGTGGTGGAGGCAGGAATGGTGTGGATGCTTCAGGCGGTGGAGGCAGGAGAGGCCCCCAGTGCAGAGACCCTGACTGTCCCAGTGTCCCTAAGAAGAGACCTGAGGAGGTGCTGAGCAAGAGAGGTTCTCGAGCCTTCCTGAGTTCCCGAGCCTCCCCTATCTTCTCTGCTCGCCCCCAGGAGCTGGGCAACAGCCTGGACAAGTGCAAGAACAATGAGAACCTGCAGCAGATCCTCACCAATGCCACCATCATGGTCGTCAGCGTCACCGCCTCCACCACCCAGGGGTATGTCCGCTTCGAGGGAGGCGCCGGGCCCTAATGGGATTGGGGATTAGGCTGGAGCTACACACGCAGGTGTACACACGCACACACACATACACACATGCACACACACACACAGAACCGAGAGGG
This sequence comes from Homo sapiens, assembly GCF_000001405.40. Classification (NCBI taxonomy): domain Eukaryota; kingdom Metazoa; phylum Chordata; class Mammalia; order Primates; family Hominidae; genus Homo; species Homo sapiens. The sequence continues at coordinate 98,179 of NW_003571060.1, forward strand.
CTGGGGCTGGGCACACCAGGCAGGCGGGAGATCCAGGAGGCTGGGCCCACCCGCCCCTGCAGGCAGCAGCTGTCGGAGGAGGAGCTGGAGCGGCTGGAGGAGGCCTGCGACATGGCGCTGGAGCTGAACGCCTCCAAGCACCGCATCTACGAGTATGTGGAGTCCCGGATGTCCTTCATCGCACCCAACCTGTCCATCATTATCGGGGCATCCACGGCCGCCAAGATCATGGGTGAGTCCCCGGGCTGGGTCCCATGGAGCGGGGGTCTGCTGACACTGTGACCTTGGGAAAGCTACATCCTTTTCTGTAGAATGGGGGCTTTGGCACCTGGACCTCAGCACCCCGTCTCCCTGGACATCACAGAGGTCAGCCAGCCTGGCACACAGCAAAGCCTCGTCTGTGGGAAAAACACTCACCCACAGCTCCTTCTCCCTCCCCTGTGCCGGAAACCCAGAGATGACCACACCCAGGCCCTGTTGTCAGGGAGCTCCTGGTTTGGTGAAAATGGTTCCAAAACACAGCCATCCCTGGAACGGCGTTAGTGTGGCTTAGCACAAACGTGGTGGTCAGCTTCCTGTTGGGGGCCTCCTCCCTGCACCCCCAGGCCAGCTGCCCTCCCTCTCTGAGCCTCCTTTGCATCTGCCCCTTGCGGAATGGGCCAGGTCGCCCGCCTGGCAGGGCCATCGAGGAATCCAACCAGAACTTCATGTAAAGGTGCCCAGCACACGTCGAGCCCCCAGGCAGATTTACTCACCCCCACCTCTCTGCTTTCTTCTGACCGCCCCCCCTTCCTCCCTCCCTCCCACCGCAGGTGTGGCCGGCGGCCTGACCAACCTCTCCAAGATGCCCGCCTGCAACATCATGCTGCTCGGGGCCCAGCGCAAGACGCTGTCGGGCTTCTCGTCTACCTCAGTGCTGCCCCACACCGGCTACATCTACCACAGTGACATCGTGCAGTCCCTGCCACCGGTGAGCCCACTGCGTCATGGCCCCTCCCCCGGCCCCCCTGGAGCCTTCCGCTGTGCCCAGACAGCCTGAGCAGCCACCCACCATCTGGCCCAGCTGACGGTAGCACTCAGGAGCTGGGAACAGGGTGGCATGGGACGTGAGAGCCAGGGCTCTGCAGCAGACCAGCTCCAGCACCCACCAGTCAGGTGACTGTGGGCAAGAGGCATGAGCGCCCTGTGCCTCAGTCTCCTCCCCTATCAAATGGGAGCACAGCGCCTGCTTCATGAGTTGGGACGAGGGCTCAGTGCACATGAAGCACTTACAGTTCAGGCCTAGCTCACGACAAGCAGCGTCGGGTTAGCGTGCAACTGCTCCGAAGACCACCCTCAGGTTTGACCATTCACTAGAAAGACTCACAGAATCCACTGAGGGCTGCACATCAGCCATGGGGAGAGACACACAGGAGGGGCAGGAGAGGTCACCAACCTCGGAGCTTCCCGGGTCCTCTCCCTGCAGTCGGGACACATCACCATCCCAGCATCGACGCCTGACAGCACACACACAGGCCCGCTAGCCTGGCGGGGCGCAGTGGCTCGTGCCTGTCATCCCAGCACTTTGGGAGGCCGAGGCGGGCAGATCACCTGAGGTCAGGTGTTCGAGACCAGCCTGGCCAACATGGTGAAACCCCATCTCTACCAAAAATACAAAAAACTAGCTGGGTATAGTGGCACACACTTATAATCCCAGCTACTTGGGAGGCTGAGGCAGGAGAATCGCTTGAACCCAGGAGGTGGAGGTTGCAGTGAGCTAAGATCATACCACTGCCCTCCAGCCTGGGTGACAGAGTGAGACTCTGTCTCAAAAAAAAAAAAAAACAAGACAGGTTCTGGGACAGACAGGCCTGGGTCCAGACCCTGCTCTGTCCGACTGTGGCGAGTTACCTCAGGCTCACGGCCCTGTGCCCTGCCTGGCCTCCCCCAGGGATGGGGAGAACAATAGCACTGATGGCCAAGGCTGGGCAGGCACTTCCTGGCCCCACCCCCCAGCCCTGTGTGGGGTTTTTTTTGTGGTCTTTTCTGCGACCCTTTAGGTCAGGCACTGCTACTGGAACACACCCAGGGAGGCTGGCAGGTCACCCCATCCTGGGAGGAGAGAGAGTGGGCGATAGAACCCAGGACGGGTGGGCCTGGGGCTCGGGGCTCCAGCTGCCTCACTGCACCCCTGCCATCGCCACCGCCTCACAGCCCTGGGCATATGGGTTAAACCTGCCCCAGGGAGCCTGATGTCTTGTCACCCAGGCCTCTGCCTCTTCATTTGGCCATCTCACATCGGTCCAGGCACAGGCCGTAGACACCACAGGCCTGTAAGGGAGGCCAGGGCTGGCCATCGCTTCACTGTGGCTGACAGCTGGGCTCTGTTTGCAGTTTGGATTGGAACCCTGGCTCCATCACCTGCTGGCTGTCTCCCTGGCCACATGACTTGAAGCCTTGGTTTCCACATCTGAAAAGGGGGTGCAATGATCACACCAGCCCAATATTTGAATATTTGATGAGATGATCCGAGGGGCGTGCTTAGCATGGGGCTGGCATCCAGGCCGAGTGCACTCCCCCCGGCGTCTCCACAGTCACCACCGTCCTCGTTGTCAGCGTGCCTTACTGTCATCCTTACCTGATGGCCACTTATCAGCTGGGACATGGCTCTGTGCCCTGCCCTCATCCCCTCTTCCTGTGAAGTAGGAGCTGAGAGCACACACCTCTAGAGCCCAAGGGTGGAAAGCCCCCTTCCAGGACCCCAGGTAGAGCCAGAGGAGGAGCGCGCGCGGTTGCTTTGCTGTTACCTCTGTCTGTCTGTCTCACACAGATTCCACCCCCGTTTTCCGTTGCTCCAGGATCTGCGGCGGAAAGCGGCCCGGCTGGTGGCCGCCAAGTGCACACTGGCAGCCCGTGTGGACAGTTTCCACGAGAGCACAGAAGGGAAGGTGAGGAGGGAAAGGTGAGGGGCGGCCGGGCGTCTTTTCCTCTGGGCCTGGGGTGTCTCTGCAGGGAGACCCTCAGCAGGGAGCCCACCCCAGCGAGCACTGTCCTACCAAGGCGGAGGCAGTGCTTCTGCCCACCCTCCCTGGGGTCAGGCACCCCCTTCCCCAGTGGGGTTTCCTAGGTCTGCTGTTGGAAGGTAGCATGAACCTACTGGCTTCAAACAGTGCAGGTGTGGCCGGGTGCAGTAGCTCACGCCTGTAATCCCAGCACTTTGGGAGGCCAGGGTGGGCGGGTCACAAGGTCAGGAGTTTGAGACCAGCCTGGCCAACATGGTGAAACCCCATCTCTACCAAAATTAGCCGGGTGTGGTGGCACGCACCTGTAATCCCAGTTACTCAGGAGGCTGAGGCAGGAGAATTGCTTGAACCTGGGAGACGGAGGTTGCAGTGAACTGAGATTGCATCATTGCACTCCAGCTTGGGTGACATAGCGAGACTCCATCTAAAAACAAAAACAAAAAACAGTACAGGTTTATTATCTGTGGTCCTGTAGGTCAGAAGTCCAAAATGAGTTTCACTGGGCTGAAGTCAGGGTGTCATCCTGGAGCGTTCCTTCTGGGGGATTCAAGGGATAATCCATTCCCTTGTCTTTTCCAGCTTCTAGGGGTCACTGGCACCCCTTAGCTCGTGGCCCTCCCTCTGTCTGCGGAGCCAGCCACATAGCACCCTCAGACCTCTCTCTGACTCTGCTTCTGTCTTCATATCTCGGCCTCTGTTTTTGTTCCCCTCTTCTATTTTAAGGGCCCCTGTGGCTATACTGAGCCTACTCAGATGGTCCAGGATAGTCTTCCCAGCTCACAATCCTTAAAATCCTTCTTAACCTCTTCACGTCCCTTTTGCCCTGTGATTCTGGGAATTAGAACATGGGCCTCTTTGGGCATGTGTGTGTTGGTGGGGGCGTAATTTGCCTTCCACACCAGGATCTGTCCCCGCTGCAACAGGGGATGTTATTCAAGTAATTATTCAGTTACCTTCTGTCTTCCTTGGTAGATGTACTCGGGAGAGGAGACGTTTTCTGTCTTGTGAACTGTCGTTTGCCAAGCACCCGGCCTGGCACAGCGTTCAGGTGTTCCGTGTCCCCTTCTCCTTTCCCTCTCCCCATCTCACCCCTGGTCTGGGTGTGGGGGTGCAGCTGTGAGTAGCACAGACAGGACCCCTGCCCCGTGGCGTGGACATTCTTGTTGGGGCCGGGTCAAAGAGACAGTCAACAGGTGAACTCTGTCCTGCGTCTAGCGGTGCTAAGTCAACACCAAGAAGAAAAAGAAAGGGGGTGGCGGTGAGGCAGCATTAGGTGCTGATTTAACTAAGGCACGTGGATACTCGGGGGGTCCGCTCAGAGGAGGCCTGGGTGGGCAGCCCACGCGAGCAGCTGCAGGACCTCCCCCTCGCCCTCCCCAGGTGGGCTACGAACTGAAGGATGAGATCGAGCGCAAATTCGACAAGTGGCAGGAGCCGCCGCCTGTGAAGCAGGTGAAGCCGCTGCCTGCGCCCCTGGATGGACAGCGGAAGAAGCGAGGCGGCCGCAGGTGAGGGGCCCTGGGGGTCCGGTAGGCATGGGGGTCATGGAGGGGAGAAGCCGGCGTCCTCCTCCCAGCCGACTCCCTGGCGCCGCCCACCCACCCGTCCCCAGGTACCGCAAGATGAAGGAGCGGCTGGGGCTGACGGAGATCCGGAAGCAGGCCAACCGTATGAGCTTCGGAGAGGTCAGACTCCCAGAGCGCCCTCCTCAACCCCACAGCCAGCCAGCCGCCACCGCCCTCTGCCTCCTGCCACCGCCCCTCCTCTCGTCCTGTGGCCCTGGCTCATGTCTAGGGCGCTGCCCCAGCCTCCTCCCCCCCGGCCTCTATTCTCGTTTCCATCCATTCAGCCCCAAAGCGACCCTCGCGGCCCTTGGAGCCTGTGTCTCCGCTGCTTAGAGCCCCCGCGGCTTCCCATCGCCCCGGGCTCCTTGGCCGGTTCCTCCCTGCCCAGAGGCTCCTTAGTGCCCTGCTGCACGGCCGCCCCGTCCCTGGGCCCCGCCAGTCTCCTCTGTTATCCCAGCGTCATCCCCTTGGTCCTGCAGGACCGAACTCAGAGGCCACCTCATCCTATTAAACCTGTTCTGGTTCCTGACATCCCCCGACCCACACGAGTAAGGAAGGAATGGCCTCCCAACTCTGAGCTCACAGAGCAGTGCTGGGACCGGGCCCCTCTCAGGCTCCCCGGCATCCCCCGCGTGTGTGGGCCCCCAGGCCTCAGCCGGGCCGAGTGGGTACCGGAGCAGGTGCCCGTGGGACCGGCCGGCTGGTGACCGCTGGGCTTCCGGCTGGTGGAGGGGGTGCCTCGGTGGCTGGAGGGCAGGGCCTGGTCGCTGAACTGCAGGGCGCCTCCTCTTCCCCCTAGATCGAGGAGGACGCCTACCAGGAGGACCTGGGATTCAGCCTGGGCCACCTGGGCAAGTCGGGCAGTGGGCGTGTGCGGCAGACACAGGTAAACGAGGCCACCAAGGCCAGGATCTCCAAGACGCTGCAGGTATGGGCCAGACCCAGGTGGGGCTGGGGACCGAGGGACACAAGGTGGGGGGAGCCCAGATCGCAGCCTCCCTGTCCTCCCCACAGCGGACCCTGCAGAAGCAGAGCGTCGTATATGGCGGGAAGTCCACCATCCGCGACCGCTCCTCGGGCACGGCCTCCAGCGTGGCCTTCACCCCACTCCAGGTACCTCCCCTGGGCCGGCTCTGTCCCCAGCCCTGAGACCTTGGCAAGGCCCCTTGCCCTCTGCCCCTGTGAAGAAGGCCAGGATGAGTCTCCTCATGGGGCTGTTGTGGAGGGTGTGGTGACGAGGTATGCAGAGGACGTAGACAGCTCCTGGCACACAGGAAGAGGTTAGCAGAGACGAGAGCCCAGCGCTGAGCAGTCCTCGTGAGCACGCACTGCTTTAGAACCAGGCCCACAGCTGTGTTCAGGGCACCCAGTTCCTCTGTCGGGCTGTGAGCGGGTAACACTGCTCAGCCTCCAGGCCCTCCAGTTCAAAACGGCCAGGACGGTTAAGGTAACCTCAGGACCCCACTCGAGAAAGTTCCCGGCTAGGCGGGCTTGGATGTCAAGTGTGGGTCCAGGCCCCAGCCAGTCAGCAGTGAGCAGCGTGGAGCATGGCAGTCACCGCATCGTCGGAGCCTCGGTTTACCATCCACAGAGCAGGGCGAGCCTGCACCACGGAGGCGAGACAGCAGCGAGCTCATCTGCCCAGTCAGCGGGTGTCTACGCAGCACCTGCTGAGTTCTGTCAGTGTTCCCGGCTCTGGGGATGAAGCAACGAATGAGAGACAAGTCTTACCTTCTTGGAGCCAGTGGGTGGCCGGGCGCAGACAGCTCAGTAAGATGTCCAGTGTAGGAGAAGGCAGAAATGCCAGGCCGGGCGCAGACAGCTCAGTAAGATGTCCAGTGTAGGAGAAGGCAGAAATGCCAGGCTGGGCGCAGACAGCTCAGTAAGATGTCCAGTGTAGGAGAAGGCAGAAATGCCAGGCCGGGCGCAGACAGCTCAGTAAGATGTCCAGTGTAGGAGAAGGCAGAAATGCCAGGCCGGGCGCAGACAGCTCAGTAAGATGTCCAGTGTAGGAGAAGGCAGAAATGCCAGGCCGGGCGCAGACAGCTCAGTAAGATGTCCAGTGTAGGAGAAGGCAGAAATGCCAGGCTGGGCGCAGACAGCTCAGTAAGATGCCCAGTGTAGTAGAAGGCAGAAATGCCAGGCCGGGCGCGGTGGCTCACGCCTGTAATCCCAGCACTTTGGGAGGCCGAGGCAGGTGGATCATGAGGTCAGGAGATCGAGACCATCCTGGCTAACACGGTGAAACCCCGTCTCTACTAAAAATACAAAAACTTAGCCGGGCGTGGTGGCGGGCGCCTGTAGTCCCAGCTACTTGGGAGGCTGAGGCAGGAGAATGGCGTGAACCCGGGAGGCGGAGCTTGCAGTGAGCCGAGATCGCGCCACTGCACTTCAGCCTGGGCGACAGAGCCAGACTCTGTCTCAAAAAAAAAAAAAAGAAGGCAGAAATGCCAGGGAGGGGAGGAGGTGGAAGGTAGGAGGTGGGACAGGGGAGGCTCTCGTTTCGGAGCAGCCAGGGAGGGCCTCTTTGAGAAGATGAGGCCAGTGGCTGTGCCTTTCCAAGCCTCCCCTCCTCCATCATGAGGTGCTCAGGACTGAAAAGAACGCACAGGAAGCACTTGGCACTGGGCTCACCATTAGAGCCCAATGACTGGGTCCTGTTATTATTTTTAGAGACGGGGGCTCGCTCTGTTGCCTTGAAAATATTTAGGAAGTGCCAGCCAGGTGTTGGCTCCCATTGCTGCCACTATGATCGTCAGTGGTGTTGGTGTGATTTGTGCTAGGACCTCGGGCCAGCCATGTCCCCCAGGGACTCAGTTTCCTTATGCAGAAACTGGGCAGGATTGGCTGTCCTCAAGCATTGGTTGTTTTTAGCACCCCTGAGGAACTTCGTACAAATCCAGGCGCCCTGGTTCCTCCCCACCCTCTCCCTCTAGACCCACTGAGTCAGAATCTCCCAAGACAGGGCAACTCCAGGGACAGGCAAACTGTCTCATGCCCACCAAGGCCTGAGTGCCATGGGGAAGGGCCTGGGGGGCTCTGATGGGTCACAGTTGGGGCCTTCTCCTCACCTAACCCATCATCCTCTCTCCCTCACCTGCCCAGGGCCTGGAGATTGTGAACCCACAGGCGGCAGAGAAGAAGGTGGCTGAGGCCAACCAGAAGTATTTCTCCAGCATGGCTGAGTTCCTCAAGGTCAAGGGCGAGAAGAGTGGCCTTATGTCCACCTGAATGACTGCGTGTGTCCAAGGTGGCTTCCCACTGAAGGGACACAGAGGTCCAGTCCTTCTGAAGGGCTAGGATCGGGTTCTGGCAGGGAGAACCTGCCCTGCCACTGGCCCCATTGCTGGGACTGCCCAGGGAGGAGGCCTTGGAAGAGTCCGGCCTGGCCTCCCCCAGGACCGAGATCACCGCCCAGTATGGGCTAGAGCAGGTCTTCATCATGCCTTGTCTTTTTTAACTGAGAAAGGAGATTTTTTGAAAAGAGTACAATTAAAAGGACATTGTCAAGATCTGTCCTTGGGGAGTGATCATTTTTCAAACAGCCGGGGCAACTAGAAGAATCAGAGCTGTGGAGCTTTGAGAAAAGAGCTTGGCCCTCGGGTCCAAGCGGTGTCTAGGCCCACTCCCTTCCCCGTTACTTTCTCGTCATGGGATCCCAGAAGGAAAAAGCCCTCTCCAACCCCCTGGAGAGCCGCAGTCACTTTGATAGCAAATGATGTGGCTGCCAACAGCCGCAGATCTCAGCGCAGGCCGACCGGGATTGCTGTCCACCTCAGGCCAGCCTCCTCACCTTTCCAAGCCTCCACACCTACGCCCAGGTGCCCAGGACTGGAAAGAATGCACAGAAAGCACTTAGCATGGGACTTGCCATCAGCGCCCTATAACCAGGTCCTGTTATGATTGGGTTTTTTAGAGACGGGGTCTCTGTTGCCCAGGTTGGAGTACAGTGATGCGATGAAGCTCACTAAAGCCTCAAACTCCTGGGCTGGGATTACAGGCATGAACCAGCACAGCTGGCCTCCTGGTTAATTTAAATTTTTTTTTTTTTTCTGAGGTGGAGTCTCGCTCTGTTGCCCAGGCTAGAGTACAGTGGTGCAATCTTGGCTCACTGCAACCTCTACCTCCCGGGTTCAAGCAATTCTCCTGCCTCAGCCTCCTGAGTAGCTGGGATTACAGGCATGTGCCACCATGTCCCGCTAATTTTTATAGTTTTTAGTAGAGACAGGGTTTCGCCATGTTGGTCAGGCTGTTCTCGAACTCCTGACCTCATGATATGCCCACCTCAGCCTCCCAAAGTGCCAGGATTACAGGTGTGAGCCACCACCCCAGCCCCATTTTTAAATTGTTTATAGACAGGGTCGTGCTCTATTACCCAGGCTGGGCTTGAACTCCTGTGCTCAAGTGAGCTTTCCACCTCAGCCTCCCTAAGTGTTGAGATTACAGGCTTGAGCCGCTGTGTCTGGCCTCTTATTATTATTATTATTTTTTTTTTTGAGACAGAATCTCACTCTGTTGCCCAGGCTGGAGTGCAGTGGGATGATCCTGGCTCATGGCAACCTCCACCTCCCGGGTCCAGGTGATTCTCCTGCCTCAGTCTCCTGAGTAGCTGGGATTACAGGCGCCCATGGGTTTTGTTTGTTTGTTTGTTTGTTTGTTTGTTTTTCAGACGGAGTCTTGCTCTGTCACCCAGGCTGGAGTGCAATGACATGGTCTTGGCTCACTGCAAACTCCGCCTCCCAGGTTGAAGTGATTCTCCTGCCTCAGCCTCCCGAATAGCTGGGATTACAGGCGCCCGCCACCACGCCTGGCTAATTTTGTATTTTTAGCAGAGACGGGGTTTCACCATTTGGGCCAGGCTGGTCTTGAATTGCTGACCTTGTGATCTGCCCGCCTCGGCCTCCCAAAGTGCTGGGATTACAGGTGTGACCCACCGCGCCCGGCCGAGATGGGGTTTTACCATGTTGGCCAGGCTGGTCTCGAACTCCTGACCTCAAATAATCCGCCTGCCTCGTCTCCCAAAGTGCTGGGATTACCCTGTGCCTGGCCCAGCCTCTTATTTATAACCAGTGTTGAGGGACTGTGTGGAGCCGGGCACAGGCGAAGCAGGCAGGCTTCCTGCCCTGGTAGGACCTGGTTGCTATAAAAGTCCTGCCAGGTGAGCAGAAGGAGCACACTTCCCCTCCCCTGACCTCCAGTCACTGAGTCTCGGGAACCGGGGCTCGGCCAGGAGCGCCTTTACTTGGACTGAGGGGAATGTGGCCTGCAGACAGTCAGGAGAGTTTCCAGGGGACAGCAGGGGCTGTCCTAGCGGGTGGCATGAAACCGTCTCCCTGGAGAGGTTAAGGAAGAGCAACTCCAGGGGTTCCATTTACTATGTGCTCCGGAGCTGGGCTACACGGTGGTACTAAGGAGGCAGCGCTAGTCACCTGACCTACAAGGTCGGGCTTCTGTTAGTTACCTAAGAGATGTTACCAGGACAAGCAGCAGCCTGGTGGGAAGATGATGCCTCCAGGTCTCTACCTCCTCTCTCTCTCCCTCCTTCTCTCCACCTCCCCTCTCTCTCCCTCCCTCTCTCCACCTCCCCTCTCTCTCTTCCTCCCTCTCCACCTCCCCTCTCTCTCCCTCCCTCTCTCCACCTCCCCTCTCTCTCCCTCCCTCTCTCCACCTCCCCTCTCTCTCTCCCTCCCTCTCTCCACCTCCCCTGTCTCCACCTCCCCTCCCTCTGTCCCTCCCTCTCTCCACCTCCCCTCCCTCTGTCCCTCCCTCTCTCCACCTCCCCTCTCTCTCCCTCCCTCTCTCCACCTCCCCTCTCTCTCTTCCTCCCTCTCCACCTCCCCTCTCTCTCTTCCTCCCTCTCCACCTCCCCTCTCTCCCTCCCTCTCTCCACCTCCCCTGTCTCCACCTCCCCTCCCTCTGTCCCTCCCTCTCTCCACCTCCCCTCTCTCTGTCCCTCCCTCTCTCCACCTCCCCTCTCTCTGTCCCTCCCTCTCTCCACCTCCCCTCTCTCTCCCTCCCTCTCTCCACCTCCCCTCTCTCTCCCTCCCTCTCTCCACCTCCCCTCTCTCTGTCCCTCCCTCTCTCCACCTCCCCTCTCTCTCTCCCTCCCTCTCCACCTCCCCTCTCTCCACCTCCCCTCACTCCACCTTCCCTCTCTCTCCCTCTCTCTCCTCCCCTCTCCCTCCCTCCACCTCCCCTCCCTCTCTCCACCTCCCCTCCCTCTCTCCCTCCCTCCCTCCCTCTCTCCACCTTCCCTCTCCCTCCCTCCACCTTCCCTCTCCCTCCCTCCACCTTCCCTCTCCCTCCCTCTCCACCTTCCCTCTCTCCTCCCCTCTCCCTCCCTCTCTCCACCTCCCCTCTCTCCCTCCCTCCCTCCCTCTCTCCACCTTCCCTCTCTCCCTCCCTCTCTCCACCTTCCCTCTCTCTCTCTCCCTCCCTCTCTCCAGCTCATGCTATCTGGGTCTCCCTCTGACTTTCTAGGTCCTGTCTGAGATTTTGCTCTTTCTGTTCCCCTCTCTGGGCCTCCCCGTCACCACTCTGTGTATCTCTGGATCCCTGTCCTTCAACCCAGAGCTCTGTCTCTGGACCTCAGTGGCAATCTCTAAATCTCTCTCCTTCCTCAAGTCAAAAAGTCGACACACTCAGGAGGTTCCCTTGAGTGGCTGAACTACCCCAGGTTGTATAACTCAAGTCTGTTTTCTCAATGTTATCCCTGACCCTCTGGGTCAACCCTGTTTGAAAATGACAACCTTTGCTGATCTCTACATACTGGTCTGCCAGGGAAGGACCCGTGGTCCACAACCCTGTTCAGAATCCCCCATCTCCCTTGGCCAAAATATCCGGCATCTACCAATGGGGCTGTGGCATGAGGGTGTCAATCTCAGGAAAGGAATCTTGAGTCGCCTGGGCCTGCAGCCCTCGTACTTTCAGAACAGAGGTTCTCAGAATTTAATGCGCTTCAGAATTACACTGAGGACTTGTTAAAACATAGTTGCTGGGCCCAGAGTTTCTGATTCAGTCTAGGGTGGGGCTCAAAAATGTGCCTTTCAAACAAGTTCCCAGGTGATGGGTACGTGCCTGACCCAAGGCCACATTTCAGAAGCACTGCTCTAGAAAAGAAGACTCTGTAAGCGGCTCTTACGCTGGGCGCGGTGGCTCACGCCTGTAATCCCAGCTACTTGGGAGGCTGAGGTGGGAGAATGGCTTGAACCTGGGAGGCAGAGGTTGCAGTGAGCCGAGATGGCGCCCCTGCACTCCAGCCTGGGTGAGAGAGACACTGGCTCCCACCTCAAGATCGTTTTAGTTGGTCCAGTGTAAGCCTGGGTATCTGGACTTTTTTATTTTTTATTTTTATTTTTTGAGACGGCGTCTTGCTCTGTCACCCAGGCTGGAGTGCAATGGCGCAATCTCGGGTCACTGCAACCTCTGCCTCCCAGGTTCAAGTGATTCTCCCGCCTCAGCCTCCCGAGTAGCTGGGATTACAGGCACATGCCACCATGCCCAGCTAATTTTTGTATTTTTAGTAGAGACGGGGTTTCACCATGTTGGCCAGGCTGGTTTTGAACTCCCTACCTCAGGTGATCCGCCCACCTCGGCCTCTGAGAGTGCTGGGATTACAGGTGCAATGGCGCAATCTAGGCTCACTGCAGCCTCTGCCTCCCGGGTTCAAGTGATTCTCCCGGCCCGGCCTGGCCTCTAATTTAAAAAAAATTTTTTTTTTTTAAAGTTCCTCAGGTAGGCCAGGCGCAGTCGTCACGCCTGTAATCCCAGCACTTTGGGAGACTGAGGCGAGCGGATCACCTGAGGTCAGGAGTTCGACACCAGCCTGGCCAACATGGTGAAACCCCGTCTCTACTAAAAATACAAAAATTAGTCGGGCGTGGTGGCGGGCGCCTGTAATCCCAGCTACTCGGGAGGCTGAGGCGGGAGAATCACTTGAACCCCGGGAGGCAGAGGCTGCAGTGAGCCTAGATTGTGCCACTGCTCTCCAGCCTGGGGGACAAGAGCAAGTCTTCGTCTCAACAACAACAACAATAACAACAAGTTCCTCAGGTGACTCTGATGTGCAGCCAAGTTGGAAAGTCATCGCTAGATCCGCGGTGTGCAAAGTGAACTGCGGACCGTGGACTGCGGCACTTGTTAGAAAAGCAGAATTTGCATTTTAACACATTCCTAGGTGATTCCGGAGATGTCTGAGAAGCGATACTTTGTCCAGGGGCCACAGTTTGAATAGCAGAGCTCTAGAACAATAACTCTAGGCTTCATTCCCGTTGTCTGTGTGTGGGCCTACGAATATGCATTTTCGCAAGCATTCCTCCTCCCCCTTGCCTCAGACCATTCTGATGCGGGTGGTGCTGAACGGCTCCATCCTCCTTCACGTTCACCTCTCCCTGGGATTTATCTTACTTTCCACCACCTAGACAGGAAGGGGCGAATCTGGCTTCCCATCTCGGTTGTGTGACCCTGGGCAAATGCCTCCCAGTTCGTGGAAGTCTCAGTGTCTAGTAAGTTTTCAATCACAAGTCATTCCTCACATTCATTCATCTATTCCTTTGACAAATGGTTACTGACTACTTCCTGCGTGCTAAGTGCTGGAGATGCAAAATCCAGACAGGGAAACCGAATAATTACGAAAATGACGGTAGACGTACAAAAATAAATCCTAACGAACAAGGCGCGCAGGAGCGCTCCGCCCGGGAGGGAGGTCAGGGAAGTTTTCTCTCCAAGAAGACAACAGAGCTGAGACCTGAAACGAGCAGGCATTAGGGAGCCACCCGTCTCCTCTGTACCTTCTGCAGCGTCCTCAACACACTAAGGAAGCGGAGACGCAGAGGAGAATGACTGTCCTACCATCTGGTCGCCTAACCAGGCAGGGGCAGGACAAAAACTCCATGCCTCACGCTTCCCAACCAATTCTGCTATGCACGGTGCCAGAGACTTAAAGCAGTGTCTCTGGTCCCTTTCTTCTTTCACTCAGCAAATAATGAATTTCAGAGATGTGCCAACATAGAGGCACTTGGAGAAAGACGAGGCAGCTGAGAGGGAAGCTGCTTACCTGGCCGGGACGCAACGGTTGCGACCAAGTCCCACTTCTGCCAGCTACATACACCCTCTTTCACACGCTCTACGAGCAGCTACCGCCCACTCGCCACGCTATTGGTCAAACTAGCATGAATGATAACTTTTAGGGCCAACGAAGAAAAAGGGGTGGACTTTCTTGCCCAGCTCCTCCCACTTGGCCCTGTGGCTGTTTTGATTGGCAGATGACTTCGGCTCGGCCCCCGCTTTAAAGGCACCTGTCTGTCTCCCATTAGGTACGCGGCCCCTAACGCCCACACTCCATGCCTTCCTCCGCTTTCCCCACCCACTTCCAGGACCAACCAATGACTTCAAGGCAGAATATGCCCCCGCAACCAATTAAAAAGAGCTCTAAACTTGACGGACGACTTCCCGCCCCTGGACTGTCGTAGCTCCTCCCCCAGACCAATTGTTTTAAGAGAGGGGGGCGGATACATCCAATCAGCACGACACAGGTCTCTTGATTGACGTTCGGGTCCTCGCGCTGGCGTGTTGTGCCCTGAGGCGGGAGGAGGAGGAGGAGCGGGGAGGAAAACCTGAGCCAATCCTAGCAGCCTGCGCGGGAGGCCAATCGAACGCCGCGCCTTGGAGCGATCACCCAATCCGCGAAAGGGGGCAGGGCGCATCCCTGCCAGGAACCAATAGAAAGCCTCCAAGGGTCAGGAGCGACGTTCAGCAGGAGCAATGACTGGCCTATATTCGGGACTCGGGGGCGGGTCGGCGCCAGAGACGAGAAGAGAGGAGGGGAGGCCTCCTCCGCCGCCGCCATCTTGGACCGGGCCCGGTCAGCTTCCGCGGAGCCATCGGCAGACGCCGCGGCCTCCCTTGAGCCCCGACCCCCGTCGTCAGAACAACCCCGGGCCCACTCCCCCAACCCCACTTCCGCTTCGCGCCGCTATCGCGATAGCGCCCGGGCCCGGGGCGCGAGAAAAAGGCGGCGGGCGCTCGCCTCCCCCGCCTGTCGCGATACGCTCCTCAGCGGCGGCGCCAGCTCCTGTGGTGAGAGCGTCAGGCTCGACTGGGCCGGACCCCTTCCCTTCCTCCCCCCGGCGCCATCGGCCGCCCTCCCCGCCGCCTCCCGCCCTGGCGACACCGCCGTCTGTCGCGACATGGCCTCCCCTCGCCTGCCCCCTGCCGCCGCCTCTGCAGCGCGGGGCTCCCGGCGGGGGGCGGCTCCCTCCCTCTCGCCCTCCCGTTCCTGCGCCTCTTTCACGTTCCTCAGCGCCTCCCGGGGGTCCTTCCGCGACCCGGACCCCGGGCCCCGCCCGCCGCCGCCTCCCCGCGTGGCATCGCGTCGGGCCCCCCGGTAGGGGTGTGAGGGTGCGAAGCCTCCCGGGCGCGAGGTGCCCGCCCCTCTCCGCGTCGGTATTGGCTCCTGGCTGGAAGGATGGAGGCGCCCCTGGTCCCAGGTGCCCGCCCTCTCGGGGCTCAGGTGCCTGCCCCCCTCGGCCTCGGTCCTTCGCGTTGTGGGGCAGCCTCCGCGCCGGGGCTTCTCCCTCGACGGTGGCGGGGAGGGGGGGTGGTGGTCGGGACGAGGACCCCAGCTGGGTGGGGGAGTCACCCTTCCCAGGACCGAGGCCGCCCTCCGCATCCCTCCTCACTGCTCCCGGGAGCGCAGCCTCCCCTGGATCTCAGGTTCCAGCTGCCCGTCTGTATCGGATGGGAGCCTCTTGGGAGAGGAGTGGAGGAGAAACTCCCCGTTAGTTGGAGCCTTTGCCGAAGTTTCCACCTCTGTAGTCTGCAGCTCTTCCCTCTCATAGCGAGTAGCGCCCTGGGTGGCTCCAGCCTCGCCATCCCGCTGCACTGGGCGCCTGCCTTTTTGGGGGAGTTTGGCTTTCCCCCACCTGGGGTACAGGACCGTCCTCAGTGTGGCCCACGTCTGGTCTCAGCTCTCACACTTCTTTGATCCTGGCGTCTGCCCCTGGCTTTGCAGCCTTGAACTCCCCTGCATCGTGACTCTCCGACCTTCTGGGTGTGGGCGTCTCCCAGTGATATCAGGACCACTGTGGTCTTGTTGCTGGGGGCTGCTGGGATCCCCTGGCGCTCAGGTGCCTGGTGAAAGACACTAAGCCGCCACGCTGTCCATGTTAGTGAGCTCCCACTGCGGGCAGCACCAGCCCCTCTTTCTGAGCAGTCCCTGCCTCTCAGTGCAGGGCGGCCACCCACCCCGGGGTGAGCTCTCCTGTCCTTTTGGTGAGGGGTTTTGATGTCTCCCCTCCCTCCCTTCACCCCTGCCTGAGTATGAGGCTTCTTCCATCTTCACACCAGTCTCCTCCTTTAGGGTGTCAGCTCTCCAAGGACCAAGAAGCCCACTGCCCTTGATATTTGCATCAGATCCCACACTGTGGGTTTGTTGACTTCCCATCTACCCTTACGCTGGGTGTCAGCAGTTGGAGAACAAGGGTTTCGCCTTCTGGCCCCGCTGCTGGTACCCCATGAGAGTAGGAAGCTTCCTAGACCCGGGTTCCTGTACTGCGAGGTGGGGGCTCTTCCCTCTGGGGCTGTGCCTTCTCTCCAGGGTAAGGACCCTTTCTTGGTGTCACCTCCCCCAGGGATAAGGTTCTTGCCATCCTTGGTATTGGTATGGCTGCTTTTCTGGATTTGAGGTGTCCACGCCTCTGCATGTGTCCCCACCGTAAGGCTGAGGACCCCTCTCGGATGCAGGTGCCCCCGGCTCATGCTTCCAAAACCCCCTCTTGATTTGTCACTGTATGGGGTAAGGCATAGTTTCCTGGCTGTGTGGATGTAAGATACCTGAGTCTCAAGCGGGAGACTCCACTGTAGACCCTGTCCCTGGGACCAGAGACTTCTCTGGTGTAGACTTTCCAAGGTGGGAGATTCCAGCCCCCCACCCTTGGCATGGGGCATCTCAGTGGAGATGACTACCTCTACCCCAGGCCCTAACGCATCCTTCTTCTGGAGTCTCAGAGCCTCTGTGTGGCCACGTCAGCAGCCACCTGGGTTAAGGATCACCCTTCAACATCACTTCTCAGAGCTCCTTGCTGCAGAGGCGGAAGCTCTCCCAGATCAAAGGTGCCTCATGACAAAGACCACTCTGTGGGCACATGACGGCCCCCAAGGTTAAGGACCACCCGGTGTTAGTTTCCCAGGGCTGACCTCCTGCCCCTCCCTCCTCGAGTCTTTGTGTGGTGGTATCATCTTCCCTGAGATGAAGTCTGGGGGGCTCTTCTTTACTGGTTTTGGCTCTGATTTTAGCGTGTTGGCTCCTGTGAGGCTGGTGTCCTGCTCACCTCCCCCCGCCCCGCCACCCGCCTTGTGGGTCCCTTCCCTGTGGGGATGTGTGTTCCTCTTGGGTAAGTCTCCTCCTGGGCCGAGGTTCCCAGATTCCTCAGTGCTCTTGGAGAGCCTTTGCTGCTGGAGCACAGGTTCTTCACGCCTGAGAGTGGACCTGCGATCACCACCTTCCTTGGAGGATCTTGGTGGATGCCCCCCTGACTACAGCAAATGGGGCTCTTTCTTCTCTGGCGGCGTCTCTGCTTCGAGACTCAGGCTCCAGCTTCCCTTCTCTCTGGTCCTTTGCTGGGGGGACCAGAGGTACAGATACCCTCATGATATAAGGATTTTCTTAGCGGGGAAGGTGTTGTCTCTACTGTGGCTAAGGCTCCAGCCTCTCTAGGGGACAAGTACCCTGGGCCTCTGGCACTTGCCCCTTCTCTGTGGAGGAGCTGCCTCCTCACTGGGTCTCAGCTGTAGCCGACTTCGATGTCACACTGTTCTGTCTGAAACATCACCTCCCTGGGTTAGCGCTCTTGTTCCCCTCCTTCTGGCTTGTGACCCCTCCAGGACTTCCTTCTCTTGCTGCCACAGTGTGGTCTCCTCTCTGTGGGTATTCTTCCTCTGCACTAGGATACCAGTCCTTTCCGTGTGGAGACACAGGGAGGGCGTCACCTGCCTAAGGTGTTGATTGCCTTGTTTAGGGGTGTAGACCATGAGACCTCTTCTCTCTCTGGGCTGGAGCACCTGCCCATGACCCTCTGTTGGGTTCTTGGGATGGAAAGAGGGAGTGTAAACTCTCGTTTCACATTCTTGTTCCCCCTATGCAGTAAGAGGCTTTTCTGTGTTGGGGTGTTGGACTTTGGTGAGGATCCCTGCACACCTGAGCTCTGGTGTCCAGGCCCTTGCCTTGTGTGAGCTCCCTGGGTCAAAGGGGCTTTCCCCTCCTCAGCCTGAATCCCCACTGTGGCACCTTCTCCTGGGTCCTTTTGTTGGTTGCTTTGCCTTCTTAGAGATTCCCCAGGTAGGGCGTGATAGCTGACCTGGGCGGGGGCTGCTGCGGCTTTCTTTAGGTTGGGCCTTTTACTGAGGAGATTTAAATTCCCTCAAGTGTAAGGTAGCACCCCTACCTATTATCACCCAGAATGGGTCCCTGCGGTGTTGGGAAAATTCTCCCTGGGGGTAAGGTACCAGCCCTGTCCTTTATGGGCTTCTTGTTCTAAAGCATATCCGTCCCATATGGTTGCTGCTAGTCACATGTGGTGATTAGTAACTAGTTAAAAATGAAAAATTCAGTTCCTCCATTACACTTGCCACATTTCAGATGTTCAGTGGCCAACAGATATGCGCAAATAGAGTGTTTCCAGCATTGCAAAGTTCTGTTGGATAGCACTGTTTGCCAGATGTTCCCTTCTTTGTGGGTGAGGACTCTTTTGGTGTGACTTCCCTCTGTATTGAGGCTCTTGTTCCTCAGTATGGGGCTGTTTCTGTCTTTACAGTAAGTGACTACTCCAGGGTTCCCTGCCCTGCACACGTAGAGTGGGAGCGGCCCGTGGATCCCAGGGAACTGTGCTTTTCATTGTAGGCCCCCTCCCTGGAGGGGAAGAGGGCAATCTCCGCTGGTATCTCAGAAGTCTTCTTCTGAGGCATAAGCCTCTCTTCCCAGGGCTCCCCTGGTCTCGCTGTCAGGCCCTAAGGTATGTCTTCCCTTGGACTAAAGCTCCTTGGAACTCCCTTTTGACCTCAGTCTTCTCTGGGTTCCAGGTAACTTCCTTTAAAATAAAGACGCTCCTCTCTTGAAGTTTTGGGTTCCTGCCCTGATGGTCTATGTCTCCCTGACTCTAAATTACCAATCCACTTGCTATGGGATTCCTCCATGAGTGCAGATCGGCTCCCTCACAGCTGCGGTACCTTTGCACCCTCTTATCTTAGTAAGATTTCTGTCTTCTCCCAGGTCTCTCTTGGGTACTGCCTTCTGCCCCCAAATCTCTAAGCCTTCTTGGTATTAGCTTCTTTGGGTTAGGAGTGTTATTTCCTTTTGGTTTAAGGATCCTGCTCTGGAATAAATGTCTTGGTGGTTTGAGTCCCTTCTACTTGGCATTCAGCCCTGTCTGCATGAGCGGGTTCAGCTCTTCACAGCTTTCGGCATCTCTGCTCGCCGTCGTTTTCCCCCACCCCCAATCTTTCTTCTCCTACCTACAGCTTACACACACACACACACACACACACACACACACACACACGCCCTTCTCTGTGAGCTGCCAGTTTCATTTGTCTCCTGACTTGTCTGAGGGATGACCTCTCCTAGCCACCTCTGCCCAGCCCCTCTGAGTAGGAAGTGTGATTTCCAGGGCTAATGCCTCCATCCCAGTCATCAGCTGTGTGCAGCATGACTGTCCTGCTCTGAAAAACCTTTTTGAGTGTATTCTGGGGAGAAGGTACTCCATGCTCTAGGAATTTTCCACTTCCTGAGTCAGAGGCACACAAAAAAGTATGTAACTTTTCTTGTTTCAACAAACTTATGGGGTCCCCTGTTGGCCAGACACTATGCTGGGCAGTCAAGCGAGCATCAGGAGAACTGGGGCTGGTCTCTTGTCAGATAGCAAATGCTTCTTCTCTTTACCAGTCCCACCTACCTCACTATGCTGACTAGGTCCATGTCTCTGGGTTTTTACCAGCCAGGGAATACGTGTTAATTCCTCTCCAATCTCTCCTAGCAGCGTCCGTCTCCAAGAGAGTATGAAGAGAGTGCGTCTGTAGGGCAGGGAAGATGGCGGACAAGCGCAAACTCCAAGGTACTAGACTGACTTCCTGCTGCACCTGTAGCCACATGCTCCCTCTTCTGAGGACTGCTCTTTAGATACCTGCCACCTGGGCAGGATTCTCACAGCCTTGTTCCTCCCTGGCCAGGTGAGATTGATCGCTGCCTCAAGAAGGTGTCCGAGGGCGTGGAGCAGTTTGAAGATATTTGGCAGAAGGTACAGGGGCTGAGACCCTAATAATCTGGGTCTTCAGAGAGGAGGGCACAGGAAGGCGGCTCAGGACCTCTGGGTGTTGACCAGCGGGAGGGGCTACATATGCAGATGCTGAGGACCTAAGAGAATCAGCTCTAAGATGGATTGGGGGTAGGGGTTGGGGGGGGTCCTCGAGTCCCTAGCATAAGGAAGAATCACTGGAGTGGGTACTGGGACATCCCCTCCCACACTGACTTCTCAATTCTCTCCATCCCTCAGCTCCACAATGCAGCCAACGCGAACCAGAAAGAAAAGTATGAGGCTGACCTAAAGAAGGAGATTAAGAAGCTACAAGTGAGGGGGCTGGGGGCCTGGACGCCTTTGTCCTGAGGGTAGAGGGAACTGGGAGAGTGGACTGCTGGGTCCCAGGGAGAAGGAGCTGTGGGCCCCAGTTCCTGGGTCCTGAGGTCTGACTTTCTTGCTTTTCCCATCTGCAGCGGCTGAGGGACCAAATCAAGACATGGGTAGCGTCCAACGAGATCAAGGACAAGAGGCAGCTTATAGACAACCGCAAGCTCATTGAGACGGTAGGAGCCCAGAGCCTGAGTCCCAGAGAGGTGGGAAGGTCACCAGATTCTTGAGATCCCAAGGGGCGGAGGCAGAGCGGCCAGACCCCAGAGGTCCTCAAGAGAAGTAAGGTTTCTGCACCTAAGGGAAGTGAAGAGGCAGCGGACTCAGAGCTCAGAAAGTAGGGTCACGAGGCTCAGGTCGGAGTGTCTGCTGGCCCTTAGTCAGCTCCTTTCCCACCTTTGAGAGCCCCCCTGCCAACTGCACTCTCTACAGCAAATGGAACGGTTCAAAGTTGTGGAACGAGAGACCAAAACCAAAGCTTACAGCAAAGAGGGCCTGGGCCTGGCCCAGAAGGTAGATCCTGCCCAGAAGGAGAAGGAAGAGGTTGGCCAGTGGCTCACGGTGAGTTGGGGTAGAGAAGAGGAGGTGAACTCTGAGGATCCTGAGCCCTGGGTGTAGGCGGAACCCTAGCTGATGGGCTTCCTCTTCCTCTCCCTCCCCTAGAATACCATCGACACGCTCAACATGCAGGTGGACCAGTTTGAGAGTGAAGTGGAGTCACTGTCAGTGCAGACACGCAAGAAGAAGGGCGACAAGGATGTGAGTGAGGGAGACCCGACACCTTTGGGATGGGGATGGGCATGGGAATGGGCTGGCCAGCAGGAGGCCAGTCATTTATGCTCCTGGGAGTTGGGGCCTGGATTCCTCAGGCGGACAGGGCCAACAGCCGGGATTAGGGATTTGAGAGACAGGATTGGGAGGGCTTAGCAGCTGCACGCGTGGGGCAGGAAGGAGGTCAGACAGAATCTCAGGGTCCCCTGGGTGTCTGGGTAGACCGTGGGGCCTTTGTGAAGAGGAGCGACTTGGGGGAAGGTGAGTGCAGGTTGAGCTTGGGCCACAGAGTAAAAGTGAGACCTGAAGGACACCCATGGCAAGAGGCCTCCTGGCACCCAGAGGGCCCTGGTCCTAGGGAGAGCACAGTGGGTAGAGACAAGGCAGAACATGGAGAAGGCAGAGAACCAGGCCTGAAGGAAGACAGGAGTCTGGGACAAAGCTGGATGTTGGGGTCCCAGGTTCTAAAATCCGGGATTGTGGGGTATGAGTTCAAAGGGATACAAACTGTACAGACTTGCTGAAACCAGAAAGACAGGGAGGGGAGAGCCGGGTCCTCAGGGAAGCTGTGGGTGGGAGAGGGTCAGGAAGTGGAAGATGACAGGGTTGGGTGTCAGACTCTGAGGGGTTTGGGAACCAGGGGCTTTCGGGGAGATGATGGGTCCTTGAACAGAGCAGAGATTTGGAACCAAGGCTAAGATGTTAAATCCTAAAGGGGCCTTGAGGGGAGGGCAGGAGCGAGGCTTAGGAATCTGGGCTCTCTCAGGGATAAATGGGTAGGGTTGGGGGCCTAGTGATGACAGATATCACAATTCTAAACAGCAAGCTCCTCACAAATGGGGGTTATCATTGTTACTGCTGGAGCAGGTCGGAGGGTATCTGTATGCCAGAGGCAGTCACAGTGGTGGGCGGGCTCAGTTGAGAAATCTGGGCTGTCAGGTGAGGTGCAGATGGAGGCCAAGTCGTGGGATGGCACAAGGACCTCTGGGTCTTTTAGAGGTTTCCAAGGACTCCTGGAGCCAGAAAGGTGTGGGGAGAGGAGGGAGCAGTGGGATCCCAAGATGTCAAGGCTAAGATTGGTCCCCACAGGGCTCAGAGGGTGGGTGGACCCCATACTGCCCCACCCCGAAGGGGATGGCGTGGAGGCTTTGGGTCTCCACAGGGGTCAGGGACTGAGGACAGGTTCTGTGGGGGCAGGAGGGGCCAAGCAGGTGCTCTGCAGCCCCTGAGCCTGGCCCTGGGCTCGCCAGCAGAAGCAGGACCGGATTGAGGGCTTGAAGCGGCACATCGAGAAGCACCGCTACCACGTGCGCATGCTAGAGACCATCCTGCGCATGCTGGACAATGACTCCATCCTCGTTGACGCCATCCGCAAGATCAAGGACGACGTTGAGTACTATGTTGACTCATCCCAGGACCCCGACTTCGAGGAGAACGAGTTTCTCTACGATGACCTGGACCTCGAGGACATTCGTGAGGCCCTGGGGCTGATCGTGGCACAGGAAGTGAGGGCCCAGAATGGGCTGTGTGAGCCAGCTAAGCATGCCCTTCTTCTGCCCCCACAGCACAGGCGCTGGTCGCCACCTCCCCTCCCAGCCACAGCCACATGGAGGATGAGATCTTCAACCAGTCCAGCAGCACGCCCACCTCAACCACCTCCAGCTCTCCCATCCCGCCCAGCCCAGCCAACTGTACCACGGTGAGGCCCCACGGGACACTAGTACCTTGTGTTTCCAGCAGGGCAGGACTCGAGGAGACAAATCTGGGTCACTCCAAAGTGGCTATGGGAGCGTAATTGAGGAAACACAGATCTAGGTATCCAGGGTCTAGGCTCTTGGAGCACACGCTAAGGTCCTATATCTGGGTCCCTAAAGGACATAAAGAGCAATAGGGTGCATCCCGCGCCAGTTTAGGTCCTGGATCTGGGAAGTGGGAGGGGCCGGTGCCTGGGCTGCCTGAGGAGGCTGGGTAGCTGGCCACCTTGGGCAGGGATCCAAGGGTTGGCTTCCCTGTGGAGAGCAGGTTCCCAGATCCTTAAGAGGCTGGTGGGTCAGTGCTGGCTCCCAGAAAACAAGAAGACTGGAGAGCCTGAATTGAGATGGTTTCTCCAGGCAGATTAAGGACAGCCATTTGACCAGCTCTGGGGCCGCAATGGCAGTCAATTGGGCCCAGGTCCCCGGGGCATTCAGAGATTGGCGGTTCTCCATCAGAGCCCCAGAGGTCACACAGGTTTCTATTCTGCCTCCCCTACCTCAGGAAAACTCTGAAGATGATAAGAAGAGGGGACGTTCCACAGACAGTGAAGTCAGCCAGGTGGGTGTGAGCCTGGACCGGGTGGGCACGCCATTCACTCCTCTGTTGCTTCCCAAAGGCATCTTGAGGCCTGAGCGCCGGCCACTGTGCTGGGCTGGTGGACACAGGTGGCTCAGAAATCAGTGCTGCCCTGAGGGCAGGTGGGCAGGGCAAGTGGACAGGTGACTGGTGCTGTGGTCAAGGGGGTAGCACACAGGTCACCCTTGGCCTGGCCAGGCAGTCAGGAGATGCTGCTGTGGAGTGCCCTGGGCTTCACAGTCAGGTGAGTTTGCCTGGCAGGGAGAGGTGGCAGCCAGTAACATGGGCAAGTTGTGACAGAAAGTTTGGAAGTGAGGAGAGATGAGTCTGGCCAGGTCTGCAGGGCCAGGGCCCAACTGTGAGCACAGGGACTGGGACTGTCAGGCTGAGGGGCTCAGGCTTTGTGGACCTGAGTGGCCTCCAGAGTCCAATAAGCCTAGGAAGCGATGGGGCCTTTGCTGTGCTGATAATACACACTGCAAATTTCTGAGAGGAGACGGTGGCGGGCAGTGCTTCTTCAACTCCTTTAACATCTCCCAGGACAGGAGCACGCTTTCGGAAACGCTGCTACAGAACAATGTTAGGCAGGAGCAGCATGGGCCTGAGGCCCCTCTGTGGGCTAACGGGATGGATGGTTCCAAGGGGACACCCTGAGTGGGCATTGAGGAGGCTGGTGTGGAGACTAAGGGGACCCGCAGGTAGTAGTGAGGGCGGGCAACAGGGCCAGGAGGTGATGAGGAGAGACACTGAGGCAGGTACTCCAGGGGCCAGGCTGGGCTCTGCCACCTTCCCAGGCCCCCACTGCCAAGCAGCGATGCCCAGGAGAGAAGTGGGTAGTCAGTCCTGTTGGGCGCTTGGTAAGCGCAAGGTGCCTGTGGGGTGGCTGGAAAGAAGCCCAGGAGGTGGTTAGGCTCAGCAGCCGGAGTGCTGTCCACAGATTGCCTGCGGTAGGGATACCATGAGCACATTTACCCTCCCACCACTTTCTGGAGTGCTGGTAACTTCCAGCCCTGTGAGTAGCTTCTGTGACCCTTCAGGTGACATTCAGAATTACTATCCAATTTCCAGCTGTTTTTCCTTCTACTCTTGGACATTAGGCGGCTCCAGCTAATCTCATATTGAGAACACTTAAGTGTTTCCCACTAGTCCTCTGGCTTCCAACAGATGGATCTTCTCTGGCTGACAACCTAAGTTGTGTGTCAGATCCCTGTGGGGGTGTCCATGGGGCGGTGTCCAGGCAGGACTTGGGAAGCTGGGCAGGCTGGAAATCAGTGTGAGTGTTTTAAGCATGAAGGTGATTGAAGCCATGAGGGTGAGTAAGGTCACCCAGGTCCCCAAGAGGGCAGGAGCAGGTGGGGGCAGCGAGGCCAGAGAGGAGGCTGCTGGGACAAAGATGGAGCCTGAGGTGGGGGTGGTGAGGGAGACCAGCTGGCCCACTGGGTCCTGACCCTCTGCTCTCTCCCACCCGCAGTCTCCAGCCAAAAACGGCTCCAAGCCTGTCCACAGCAACCAGCACCCTCAGTCCCCAGCTGTGCCGCCCACCTACCCCTCCGGCCCCCCGCCTGCTGCCTCTGCCTTGAGCACCACTCCTGGCAACAATGGGGTCCCCGCCCCCGCAGCACCCCCAAGTGCCCTGGGCCCCAAGGCCAGTCCAGCTCCCAGCCACAACTCGGGCACCCCTGCTCCCTATGCCCAGGCTGTGGCCCCACCAGCTCCCAGTGGGCCCAGCACGACCCAGCCCCGGCCCCCCAGCGTCCAGCCTAGCGGAGGCGGAGGCGGCGGCAGCGGAGGTGGAGGGAGCAGCAGCAGTAGTAACAGCAGTGCCGGTGGAGGGGCTGGCAAGCAGAATGGCGCCACCAGTGAGTGAGGAGGCAGCGGGGTGGGGGGCGTGGGCGGGGCTGGGCAGCAGGCAGCAGCCCTTTCCATTTACTCTTTGTTCCCAGGTTACAGCTCAGTTGTGGCAGACAGCCCGGCAGAGGTGGCTTTGAGCAGCAGTGGGGGCAACAATGCCAGCAGCCAGGCCTTGGGCCCCCCTTCCGGCCCCCACAACCCACCTCCCAGCACCTCGTGAGTGTCTCGGCCATCGGCAGGGTTGGGATGGCAGCCTTTTGAAACAGAGAGGCGCAGGCGCCTCACCCCCGCATCGGTGGGTTCTGAACCCCCCGCCCTTGCTGCTGGGAATGGCCAAGCGCTATCCTCCATCTCCCTCGGGTGTTACACCCCCACTTCTTTCCAGCAAGGAAACTACATCAGCCTCCCTGCTTTGCCCTTCAGAACATTCTAAAATACGTTCTCATCTAAGTGGAAGTTTTCTCAAGAGCCCCATACCCTTTCCTCCCCATTTCTGTTACCTGCCTGAGGCCAATTGACTGCCACCGGAGGGTCACTGTTTCACTTTTCAAAGTGAATTGTCCCGAAGTCCTTATTCCTCTGCAGCCACTCCTTCAAATCTTAGCTCAGACCATTCCACTGGGTCTGCCTGTTTCCCGAAGAATGCCCTAAGAAAGATCAGTGTGCACAAAGGAAAGGCCTGCTTCCTGCCCCCTCACCCCAGCTCCAGCTGGCCTGCCCAAGGGGGAGTGGGCCCTGTGAACACCTGCCCAGGGCAAGTGGTTTTGATCAGCCTGTGGCCTGGTGGAGCACCCGAGAATCCTCACCCCCACCCCCACAGCTCTGCTCTGCTGATGAGAAACCATTCCAAAGATTGGGCTCTGCCTTTGTTTGCCCAGAGAACCACTTCTTTCTCCCATCTGTCTGCCCTCACCTGCCCCTCTCAGATCCCATCTGATCTGTGCAGTCTCCCCTCTCTCCAGCCAGGCCTCTCTGCCCATCCCACCCTCAGGGACCCTCCTCTCAACCCCCTCTTCCATGCTCTCTCTCCAGGAAGGAACCCAGTGCGGCAGCCCCAACGGGGGCTGGGGGCGTGGCCCCAGGCTCAGGGAACAACTCAGGGGGACCCAGCCTCCTGGTGCCACTGCCTGTGAATCCTCCCAGCTCCCCAACGCCCAGCTTCAGTGATGCCAAGGCAGCCGGTGCCCTGCTCAATGGGCCTCCACAGTTCAGCACCGCCCCAGAAATCAAGGTGGGCTCCTCGGACATCCCCCGAGCCTCTGTGTCCTGACTCTGTTGTTTCTTTCCTCCAGGTCTCTAGCTGCACCCCCTGCCCCCACCCTCTTTCTGGATCTCTTTCTCTGGCTTTCTGTCCCCTTCTCACACTTGCTCTTTCTCCAGGTCTTTCTGTACCACCCTCCCCGTGACCTTGATCTCTGGGGGCTCTCATACCTCCTCTCTTGTTCCCTCCAAAGCTCTGTTTCTCTGGGTCTCTTTTCCTTTCTCTTGGTTGCACTTGTTGCTTGCTCTCTCTGGGTCTCCATCTTCATCCCCCCCGCAGGCCCTCAGTTTCTGTCCCCGTTTGTCCTCACAAGGCATAGACTGGTGTACTTTCTGCACAAGTAGAAAGACTGGTTGGGTGAATGCAGCCTGGTTCCACCCTTTAGGAAGCTTCCCTGCTGGGGCAGCTGCAGGGAAGGTTGCGGTGGGCCCACCGAGGGGCATCTGACCTGACCTGGGAGACAGGCCCAGGAAGGTCTGAGAGGGGGTGATGTTTAAGCTGAGACCTGGACCAGGCAGGGGGGCTAACAGCTGCAGGAAGGGCTTCAGGAGGTGCTTTAGGAGGAGCATGCATCTGCCTGTGTGCTTAGGAAGCTGGGCAGGATGCAGCAGAGAGGAGAGAGGTGTCCACTCTGCAGGAGACAGTGCCACCAGCTGCAGGGCTGAGATAGTGGGTGTAGCAGGATAGGACGGTGGGGTCCTGATCATCGAGGGTCAGGAGCTGGGGCTTGGCTTGTGAGCCAGTATACTGTAGCGCAGCTTCCATGGGGGGACCAGTGTGTATGCCCAGGCTGTCCAGGAGGCAGTGTGCGCGCCCAGGCTGTCCAGGAGGCAGTGTGCGCGCCCAGGCTGTCCAGGTCCAAGTCTTGGCATTGTCCTTTCTGTGCCTTCATCTGGGAAACGGCAATAGTCACGATTATACCTACTATGTAGGGTTATTTGGAAGACTAAATCATCCTCATAAAGCTCTTGGAACAGTTTCTGGCCCAACAGAAGCATTAATTTTTTTTTTTTTTCTTTTTTGAGACAGAGTCTTGCTCTGTCACCCAGGCTGGAGTGCAGTGGTGCAATCTCAGCTGAATGCAACATCCGCCTCCTGGGTTCAAGCGATTCTCCTGCCGCAGCCTACTGAGTAGCTGGGATTACAGGCGCCTGCCACCACGCCAGGCTAATTTTTATATTTTTAATAGAGATGGGGTTTTGCCATGTTGGTCAGGCAGGTCTTGAACTCCGAACCTCAGGTGATCCACCCACCTCGACCTCCCAAAGTGCTGGGATTACAGGTGTGAGCCACCGTGCCCGGCCCAAATTTTAGAAGTAGGTGGACAGGATATTTATAGTGCGTGCATTTTTCTGGAAAAAGGGAAACAGCAGCTTTGAGATTTTCAGAAGGGGTCCATATCTTTTAACACCACCAACAACAAAAATGAATCGCTGGGGTGGGTGGTCGGGAACCATGGCAAGGTTTGGAGTAGAGAAGGAACAACATGACTTCATTGGAAAGGTCCCCTGGGGCTGGTGAGGACAGGATAGAGGGAGGGTGGTCTGGGCAGGAGAGGACAGGCCTGGGCTGTGTGGGACATGGTGGCACGACAGGGAAGGGAGCCATCCAGTGGGGTTTAGAAGCAGGACGGATAGCTGGGCGTGGTGGCTCACACCTGTAATCCCAGCTCTTAGGGAGGCAGAGGCGGGAGGATAGCTTGAGCCCAGGAGTTTGAGACCTGCCTGGGCGATATAGCGAGACAGAATGGATAAGCCTTGGCGACTGACTCGTTGTGGAGAGTCCAGCACAGGGCTGGGGTTTGGGACAGCTGCACGTGGCTGGAGGAGATGGGAGGAACCAGCCCTGACTTTGGGGAACAGAAGCCTGCTGTAACCTTTGTAATAGGAAACGAGGCTGTGGCTGCGGGGCTGGAGACCCAACCTACCTGTTTCCAGCAAGGAGACTGAAGCCTAGCCGGGCTGGGCCCACCCCGATTCCAGTCACCCCATGCCAGTCACAGGCAGACAGCTGAGCATGTAGACCTCCTGCCTCCTTCAAGACAGGCGGGAGCTCTCCCAGCGTGTAGGTGTCCCTAGTGAAGGAGCGTGTACTATTGGCACATCCTTTGACAAAAATGGTAGCGCACTGTACATATTCTGCAGGTTGGCGTTTACTTCTGTAGTATGTCACGAACTTGTATTTTGAAAATCTCGGCGTAGTATTCCATGCTGCAGAGTCCCACTCACGAGACGTTCCTCTGCTGATGAATGCGTCGTGGTCTCCGATTGTTTCCCTACAGTTTGATGCTTTTACCTGTCATGGGTAGATTGTGGGGAGTGGGTCGTTGGCCCTCCACGGCCCCCAAACAGGGCAGGTGAGAGCATCTGGGGCCTGTGTCAGGCTGCACTTGCTCCTGCAGCCCAAGTGCTCAGGCCAGGCCTCTTGTTTCCTCCCCAGGCCCCTGAGCCTCTGAGCTCCTTGAAGTCCATGGCGGAACGGGCAGCCATCAGCTCTGGCATTGAGGACCCTGTGCCAACGCTGCACCTGACCGAGCGAGGTGAGGGACCCAGGATGGTGGGGAAGCAGCGGGCCAAAGAGGAGGGGCTGCCCCTGACCCATCCTCACCACTGAGGGGGCCGGACCCCCACCCTCCCCACAGACATCATCCTGAGCAGTACATCAGCACCTCCGGCCTCAGCCCAGCCGCCCCTGCAGCTGTCAGAGGTGAACATACCGCTGTCGCTGGGTGTCTGTCCACTGGGCCCTGTGCCCCTCACCAAGGAGCAGCTCTATCAGCAGGCCATGGAAGAGGCCGCCTGGCACCACATGCCTCACCCCTCTGACTCTGAGCGTATTCGGTGAGGGGCCACAGGGAAGGGGGATGGTCTGGGACTTGAGTCTTACGGAGGAGGCAGTGGCTGAACCTGTGAGGCTGTGGGTAGAGCACCAGGCCCCTGACTTGGGCTCTCCACTGAAGGTCAGCACCGCCCTGGGTCTTTCTGTACCACCTCCCCCCGCAGGGATGCATGTCTGAGCACCCTTTTGATCACGACAGGACTAGTAGGCAGCTGGCACTGACCTTCCTGTTGCTCTCACAGGCAGTACCTCCCCCGGAACCCCTGTCCGACGCCCCCCTACCACCACCAGATGCCACCCCCACACTCGGACACTGTGGAATTCTACCAGCGCCTGTCGACCGAGACACTCTTCTTCATCTTCTACTATCTGGAGGTACAGCAGGGCCCCCGGGGCAGCCTCGGGCCCCCCGGCTTCGCCGCCACCGCCGCCGTCCCCCCTCGGGCTGGAGGGGTGAGGTGGGTGCCCCACTGCGGCCACTGGGACCGCACCCCCTCCCTATTCCCACTCCTGGGCCCCTGCCCCAAATCCACCTGTCCCCGTCCCCGCCTTCCAGCCCAGAGATGTTAGAACTGCTTGGGTTGACAGCGAGGCTGGTCCACTGAGGCACACCTCAGCCCCGCTTCCAGTTGCCCACTGGCTCACCCGCGGCCCCTCCCCAGCCCTGCTCCAGCAGCCCCAGTCTAGGCCGACCCCACTCTGCTCATCGGCACATTCTCAGGCCTCCCTGGAGACCACTGGGGAGCTGTCCAGCCCCCTCCCAACCCCAGTGAGTCATGAGTGACCTCCACCCTCATCCCCACTTGGGAAATTTTCTAAATTGCCTCCTCTCTCAGCTCTCATCACACATTAGTTTTTCTTCCTTCTCAAAGCTTCTCTGAAAGCAATTTTCACCTCCTGTCTCATTTTCCTTCTCCTGATCAGCATTGGTATGTTCTGTGCCCCCAGCCCCATCTCCAAGAGGATTGTCCAGCCCAACTGTGGTCTGTGGCGGGGGCCGGGGTTCAGCCCTGATGTCCTGCCCCATTCCCCTGGCTCCCCACCCAGTTTGGGGGCCCCCTGATCCCCCTCTCCACTGTTCCTCCCCCAGGGCACTAAGGCACAGTATCTGGCAGCCAAGGCCCTAAAGAAGCAGTCATGGCGATTCCACACCAAGTACATGATGTGGTTCCAGAGGCACGAGGAGCCCAAGACCATCACTGACGAGTTTGAGCAGGTGAGGGCCCCGCCCCCTCTCTTCCCGCTGCTAGGGTTGGGGTAGAGTCCCCAGGCTCCAGGCAGCCCCTGCTGGCCTCTGCTCCCTTGCCTCCACCTTTCAGCTGGCGCAGTCCCTCAGCCTGACCAAGTACTCCTCCCTCTGGCTGTCTGCTCAGCCTGGAACACCGCCCTCTCATCCTCCACTTGGCCAGCTCCTAGGCCTCCTGTAGGTCTCAGCCCAAATGTCCCTTCCTCAAAGAAACCTTCCTGGAGCCACCCAGCCCAGTGCCTCCCCTTTGCAGTGCTGGGCACACTCGCCTGGGGTGTGGGATTTTCCCAGTATGTGTCCCTGCACCAGGCTGTGGGCTCTGCTGCCGAGGGACCTTGATGGCCCCCACTTCACCTCCAGGTCCCAGCACTCAGCAGGGCAGGGGCTCAGTGCCGAAACTATTTTTTTTGAATGGGCTTCTCAAGTTCTAATACTGGGAAATTCCTGCTGCTTGCAAACACTCTGGAACCAACCTACCTGGGTTTCAGCCCAGTCCAGCTGGGCGACTCTAGGCAAGTCACTCGAACCTCTGTGTCTCAATTAACTTATCTGTAAAAATGGGGGGAAGACCACCTACCTAATGCAGTTGTTATGAAGATTAAATGAGTTAATAACATGTAAGTACTTAATGGTGACTGCTACATAGTCAGTGTCATGGATTTTTTTTTTCAAATTACTTTCAGTTGGTGTGTTCTACAGTGATGTTTTTTTCCACCAAATACTTCCCTGATGCCGAGCCCCTTCATGGGGATGAAGTAGTACAAGGTCCTTGTCCTCAGAGAACTCAGTCCCCTCTCCTGGTTCTCCCAGGTTGCCATCTTTGAAGCACTTAAGACATTCATTTAGAACCTAGGTCCTCTCCCATTGTGTCCTCAGATGTTAACCACAGACTTCCTGTCCTTTCCTGGTTTGGCCCAAAACCATCCTCCAAGTTAGTACATTTCAGGGCATCCAGTCATTCAGAAATTCCCACACCACTTCCGTCACCAATAAAATGTCCCTGCAGAGTGCTTGGATTTAGACTCTGAGACTGTTCCATTCTCTAGAACAAGGGTGACAGTACCCACTGCCTCGAGGTCTTTGTGAAGATTAAATGCTAGGCTGTGCATCCTGTACTCACGTGAGAGGTGCTCAAAAGCCACAGCCCTCGAGGAAACGAAGGCTGTGCACTCACACCTGGGGCTGGGGCCCCGTTCTGGCAGCTGGCTTCGGTGGAACCTCTGCGGCCCCCTCCGTTTCCTCCTCGCTGAAGTGGCATGATAACATTTCCTACCCAAGAAGAACCTTGTGAGGATGGATGAGAGTGTGTGCGTGCAGGGCAGCTGGCCCGGTGCCTGACACATCCACAGCCCTAAGAATTGTCCCCTTTGTCTGTTGGTCCGGCCCAGATCCCAGACCACCTCCTCGTCCACTCACTGACCGCCTTCTCCCCCGGCCAGGGCACCTACATCTACTTTGACTACGAGAAGTGGGGCCAGCGGAAGAAGGAAGGCTTCACCTTTGAGTACCGCTACCTGGAGGACCGGGACCTCCAGTGACACCGGCCCCTCCCTCTACCCACCCCCTTCCCCCGCATGCTGATCCCCCTGCCCAGGTGAGGGCCCTGCCCTGGAAGACTGGAGGGAGGCCCCAAGCCACGGGGCATCCCCCTCTCCCAGGAAGCAGGGAGGGGGCCGGGAGGTTTTCCTCTCAGCCCCACCCTGGGGGCCCGGGGGCGAGGGCTGCCCCCTCCTCCCCTCCCCAGTGAGGGACATTTTTTGGTAAACCTATTTTCATTTTGGAAAATATTTATGAATAAATAGTTTTATATGACGGCTGGCAGCAGCGGCCTCTCCTGTACCCCCTCAGGAGTCAGTGAGTAAGGTGAGGGTCCTGCTGGCGGGGGCGCCGGGCCAGCTGGGGGTTGAATTGGGAGTTGTACCGCCGCCGCCGGTCATCCGTCTCGTCTTCTTCCGGCTGACCCTCCTGTAGTGCCCGGCCTTGGACCCGGGCCAGCAGGGCCTCTGCCCGAGACCTCTCAGCTGCTTCCCTCCGCAGACGTTCAGCTCGAAGCTGGTCCAGGGATGGAGGCCTGTGGGGAGAGGAGTGAGGTCAGAAAGCTGGTAGCCCCTAGGAGGCCATTCCCCCAACCTCTCCCATAGAGGGAGCTGCCGCCTGGAAGCCCTGCTGCATCCAGCACACCCCAGCCTCAGCTCCTTAGGCCTGCTGGAAGCAGCCACTTGGTGCTGGGACGCCATGGGCACGTCTCTGGCCTTCCCTTCTGTGGGCTTTGGTCCTCCCCAGTCTTTAAAATCTGATGCTTCTCCAGGTCAAGAAAGCACACTTAGCAGCCCCCTGGCCCTCAGTTTCCCTTTCTAGAGGAAAGAAGACTACAGGCAGTGTACCCCCTCTAGACCAGGGGTGCAGCATCCTGGAGACAGAAGCCTGCTTTTACTCTCTAACCCAGCAGCTCTCAAACTCTTTGGTCTCAGGACCCCTTTATACTCTTAAAAACCAAGGACCCCAAGAGCTTTTGTTTAAATGGGTTCTCTTAATATGCTGCAAATCATTAGTGAAAACTAAGAAAGTTTGGACACAAGCATCTGCCATTGGCCATCAGAGTGAGGGTGTCTCCCCATCACACAGCCTCTGGAAACCTGCACTACATGCCTGAGAACACGAGTGGAAAAGTCCACCAGTGTCAGGAAAATAGGCTTGACACCACAGCACCCCGGGAAAGGGTGTCAGGACCCCTAGGGCTCCCTGGACCACATGCTGAGAACCACTTCTCCACCTAGCCAGCCCTTCACGGAGTCCCTGGCTGTCCTGACCAGAGACGCTGCAGTGCCCATGCTGGGCTGCTGCCAAGCCCTGAAGGTCTGGGCCCTGGTCTGCCGAGGTGGGGTCTTCTTACTCCTTGGGTCGCTGCTTCTCAGACCCCTCCTTTTCCTTTCTGCTGCGACTGCCTTCATCACCGCCGTGCTGTCTCTTCTTCCCCAGATGCTTCTGCATCTCCCGCAGAGGGTCCAGACGGCTCTTGATCTTCTCATCTGGGGCTGGGCCGGGCGGGGGGCCCCCTCGCCCTGGGGGTAGCTGGTACCAAGGGGGTTGAGTCTGTGCCTCCGCTGCACTCTGGCCCAGGTATGTCAGGATGCCCAGAGCTTTCTCTTGCCTCTCCTGAGGGGGCCAGGAAATACAAGAGATGTGATATAATCTTTCAAGGTGTCAGGTGTGTCTCCCTGACACAGGTATCTAAGCGAACAGGTATCTAAGGCTTGTTATGAACCAGTTGGACCAGGTGCTGGGGATGGAAGACAAACAGAGGCAAAGCTCCCCCTGGGGGGACAGTAGCAGGTACAGTAACAGCAGGGGAAGGAGGGGACAAGTGGAGCCACTTGAGTGTTCAGAGGCAGGCATCTTTGCAGAGAGACTTGAAGAGAAGCCTGAAGGGATCAAGCAAAGCAGAGGAGCGATGGGTGGGGTCAGCAAGTCCAGAGACAGCAGATAAATGACAAGAGCTGATGTACCTCTTTTTTTTGAGATGGAGTCTCGCTCTGTTGCCCAGACTCGAGTGCAGTGGCACGATCTCGGCTCACTGCAACCTCTGCTTCCCAGGTTCAAGCAATCCTCCTACCTCAGCCCCCCGAGTAGCTGGGATTACAGGCACACACCACCATGCCCAGCTAATTTTTGTATTTTTAGTAGAGACGGGGTTTTGCCATGTTTGGCCAGGCTGGTCTTGAACTTCTGACCTCAGGTGATCCACCCACGTTGGCCTCCCAAAGTGCTGGGATTACAGGCGTGAGCCACCATGCACAGCCACTGATGTACCTTTTACACTTGATCTTAGCCAAAAAGCAAGAGGCGATTGATTCACTTTTTGTTTGATTGTTTTGAGATGGGGTCTCGCTCTGTCACCCAGGCTGGAGTGCAGTGGCGCAATCTCGGCTTACTGCAGCTTCCACCTCCTGGGTCAAGCGATTCTCCTGCTTCAGCCTCCCTGGGATTACAGGCGTGCACCACCATGCCCGGCTAATTTTTTTTGTATTTTTAGAGATACCATGTTGACCAGGCTGGTCTTGAACTCCTGACCTCAGGTGATCCACCCGCCTCAGCCTCCCAAGGTGGTGGGATTACAGGCGTGAGCCACAGCCGGCTGATTTAAATTTTTAAAAGCCCATCAGGTTTGAGACTCCTCCAGTTTGGAGAACTGAGCGGTTTGCCCAGCAGCTGGGGACCTCTAGCATCTACCTCCAACCCCTGTGGGCGCCCAGACGGCAATAGCCAACGCTTTTTGAGTGTCATGCCTTGGTATGGTCCTAAATTCTGTGTGTTCACTCTTGTTTGACCTTGGTCACAACCAATGGCTAAAGTGCCCCCTCCCTCCAACTCGATTCATGGCCCCTCTGATGAAGTGGGTGAGGCCAGCTTACTTTCTCCTGTCGCTTTTCTTCCTCGTACTCTTTATTGCCTCTGATCACTCCTTTCCCTTCCTCCAGCAGCTCCCGAAACAGGTCCACAGGGCCAGAACCTGGGGCTCCCGCCTCTGCTGCTTCAAGCTCAGGCAGTGAGTTCTGATGTCTGGCTTTCTTCCGTAGGAATTCTGTACGGGCCTGGGGAGAAAGTTATAGGCAGGACATTCAGAACCTAGAGGTAATTCAAGAACTGTGAGTCTGGTGCCCACCACAGAAAATGGCAGTCCAGGGTGCTGGGGTTATGAGAAAGGGAGCACTAGGCGCCTAAAAGAGGCACCTGTCCTAGCTGGGGGTGAGGGTAGGCAGATGAGGCAACGCCTGGGTTTTGTAAACTCCCTTTCAAATAGTAAACCACGGGTCATCAAGGATGTATGGGAGGAGGTCCCTGGCCTAAACCAAAGGGGTTCCTAACCTCAAGTGAGACAATTAAAACAGCCATAAAGGTATGCATTAGGCCAGACGATCTGAATTCTAGCCATGGCTCCAAGTGACTACCCCAAGTCTGCTGAAGCCCTGTCCCCTGCCTTCAGGACGCGGATTTCAAACAGCGCTCAGCAGCCTACTGAGATTCTAAAAACCTAGACTACCTCCCACCCACGGCGGAGGATCAGACTAGCTAAGGAAATGAAAGTTGGGTGTACACCAAACAGATTTAAAGAGCCATACGGAAAGCCCGTGTTTGTGTGTATGTGTCTAGGGGGCGGTGCACGAAAGGGCTCGCCCGATGGCGTGGAGCCTGGCTGTCCGCCTCTCCTTAAAATGTGCCTTCCCCTCACTGAAGCCATCTCACTTCGTGCAACAGAGATGACAGTGCCCCTCTAAGAACGAACAGTGCTTATTGGGGATTCCGCAAGTCAGGTGCACGGCATGTAGTTAGCATACAGTAGATGCTCAATAAATAGGCTGTGCAGGCAAACTAAAAAGTGATCCGAATTTCCTTGAACTGTCCAAGGGTTCACGGATTCATTAAATGTTAAGCTTCTCTTTTGTGCTAGACACTGTTCCAGCCATGTGAAATACATCAGTGGGGGAAAAACTAAGACGAGGGCGAGATCAAGGAAGGTTTCGTGGAAGTGGGCACAAGGTTTGCGGGGCAACGTCCTCGAAAGTGGGATCGGCGCCTGGTCCCGAATTTCACACGGGGCACATTGAGCCTGCGCAACGCCTCCGCTTCCGGCCCCCAACCGCGGCGCCTGCGCGCTGGGCCCCGGAGCGCCGCCCTGCCGGCTTCCGAGCTTACCTCTTGCTGAGCCAGCAGCACCCTCCGCTCACGCTCCTTCTCCTCCTCCCGGGCCTGGGCCTCGTCACGCCGCACGCGGGCGACATTGTCCTTGTTCCGGACGTGCCAGCTCTTCTTGGGCAAGATATTCATGGCGTCGTAGCTGTCCAGGGACTGGCACGCCCGCCTCTTTGCACTTCCGATTGGCGAGAGGATGCCCCCCTTTTTCTTGTCCCTACTTCGACCGCGGATTGGTTCCGAATTAGTTGGTACGGCCCCCTGGCCTGTAGCGACAGGTGATTGGCTGAGACGCCCTTTATCACAGCGAATGCTAGGCGTTCGGCTCGTGGTATCCCCTAGCAACCGCCTCTTGTCACAGATCTGAACCAATCATAAGTTGGCCCGCCCCTGATGCTACCAGATGCGGCCGTCGATTGGCCGACATGACCGACAAGTCTCCTTGCGGAAGAGCGCTCTGCACCGACAAACATGCCCGTACATTTGATTGGCTCCTGCCCCGCTGTAGCCCTGCCCCCACCTTCAGGACGCAGATTTCAAAGCGCGCTCAGCAACCTCGGCTGTATTTATTGATACAAGGAAGATCACCCGAGAGTCAGGGACGTGGCGGCGAGGGGCCCTGGAAATCTCCAGATACCAAAGCTGGAAGGGCGTGGAGTCTTCTCCAGTTCTCCTAGTTTACAGATGTTGTGACCTAGGCTTACAATGGGCCTGGGGTCTGAAAGCGGGACGTGGGCTGCGGGGGTCAAAGAGCCGGTTTGGTGGAGGTCAGCGCCACAGCGCGCCGTGCCAGGAAGACTTTATTCTGCGCCTCCTGGGGCAAAGAGAGGTGGAGGTGAGACAATCCTCTTCCCCAACCCCTTTCCATGTTCCCCAGGGGCCCTCTCAGGGACCCGCCTGGCTCACCGTCTCTCTCTGACGTTTGAGCTCAGAGATGAGGCGTCCGTAGGAGTTAGCCAGAGCCACAGTGTACGCCATCAGGATGCTGAAGGAGACAGGAACGGAAGCCACTCCTGACACGCTCTTCCATTATATCCAAACGTCTGGCTCCTTCGAAGCCAGGGATGTGGACGCCTAAGCCCCTCCTCGTCTGGGCTCAAGGAGTTCAGTCTCCCAGCCCCTCCGCCTTCAGATCCAGGAGTCCTACGTCCCGCCCACCTCCTCCTTCGGACCCAGCAGTCCAGGAGCCTAGGCCTCCTCCCTCAGACTCAGTACGTTGCCTGCTCCCACGCCCAAGCCTCTCCTCTCTTGGACGCAGGTGGTGGCCCCCAGATCACACGCATTCAAACCCAGACCCAGAAGTCTGGGCCGTCTCACCTGGAGATCAGCAGAAGGGGCACAGCAAAAGCCTGGGTCCCCAGGAAGAAGAGGAAATTCTGGGTGGTCTCAGGGAGGCTGGAAATAGACTCAGGGATCTGGGCCCAGATGGACGACTGCCCCCGGAATGGACCACACAGCTTAGAAGGCGGGATCCTGAAGTCAAGA
This sequence comes from Homo sapiens, assembly GCF_000001405.40. Classification (NCBI taxonomy): domain Eukaryota; kingdom Metazoa; phylum Chordata; class Mammalia; order Primates; family Hominidae; genus Homo; species Homo sapiens. The sequence continues at coordinate 135,897 of NW_003571060.1, forward strand.
CAGGCTGGGCTCACATAGTGCCAGGAGTCTGAACACTGAATGGGGAGAGAGGGAGGGAGAGAGGCGGGAGCCTCTCGCACTTACAGGAAGATGCTGTAAAGCAGGGGAACGCTGGAGATGGCCAGACCCAGGAGAAGGACCAAGGGGAAAAAGAAATTCGCCGCGGAGGCCCGGAAGGTGCGGGCAGCCGGGGAGCAGGTGGAGAAGAGGGTAAGCTGGTGGGGGAAGGCACGGAGAAAAGGGCTCTGAAACACAAGAGTCTGTGCCTCCATTTTTTTTTTTTTTTTTTTTTGAGACAGAGTCTCGCTCTGTCGCCCAGGCTTTTTTTTTTGAGACAGAGTCTCGCTCTGTCGCCCAGGCTGGAGTGCAGTGGCTCTCACTGCAGCCTCCCCTCCCGGGTTCAAGCTATTCTCGTGTCTCAGCCTCCCGAGTAGCTGGGATTACAGGTGTGCACCACCACTCCCGGCTAATTTGTTTTGCTGTTGTTGTTGTTTGTTTGTTTTCTCTTTTTGAGACGGAGTCTCGCTCTGTCGCCCAGGCTGGAGTGCAGTGGCACGATCTTGGCTCACTTCGACCTTCACCTCCCTGGTTCAAGCAATTCCCCTGCCTCAGCCTCCTGAGTAGCTGGGATTACAGGCGCCTGCCACTAAGCCCGGCTAATTTTTTTTGTATTTTTAGTAGAGACGGGGTTTTGCCATGTTAGCCAGGCTGGTCTCAAACTCCTGACCTCAGGTGATCCACCCGCCTTAGTCTCCCGAAGTGCTGGGATTACAGGCGTGAGCCACTGCACCCGGCCTACCTGCCTCTCCTTTTTTCCGAACCAGGAGTCTGAGCCCCTTCCTCATCTAGGACCCCGGAGTCTGAGTCCCCAGATCCTCAGACATATAAGTCAGAATGCCCTAGACCCCTCCTCTCAGATGCAGTAGTCTGTCCTCCAACCCCCTCCTCTCTCAGGACCGAGTAATCCAGGCCCCCAGGATCTTCCTTGCCCTTGACCCAGGAGTGCGGGCCCCAATACCTCCTGCCTCAGACCCAAGGGTCCCCCCTACCCCTTACCTTCTTCAGGTAGAAAAGCAGCAGGAACTTGACCGTGTTAAGCAGGGGCAGTAAAGGGCAGAAAAAACTCCCCACCCAGACCACCGTCTGCGCGTAGATGAGCCCCAGCACCTCGTCGGGCACCTGGAACTCCTGGGTCCCCGCCAGACGACCCAGCGCCCCAGGACAGAGGCCACAGAGGAGCCTGAAGGACGGGGCGGGGCCGGGCCGGAGTCAGGGGAGTGGCGGCCTGGAGTTTCCACGCCTCCACCGCCCCGCCCGCCAATAGGAAGCATGCGTATTGGTGGGGGGGGGGGGGGGGGGCGGGACTTTCAGGACTCCACGTGGAGGGGGTGTGTCCAGAGGGCGGGTCCTGAGGACTAGAAGGGACCCAGATGTCGCCGCCGTCGGGGCCAGAGGGAAGTAACCCACTAAAACAAGGGCGGGGAGCGGGGAGATCTGCGGACCTAGGGCAAGCAAAGGGAGCAGGCAGAGGCGGGAATGGTAAAAAGGTGCGCGGTGAAAAGAACAGCGCGATGGGGCACGGCCTCGTCCTAGAGGGGCGGGGCCACAGCAAGGGGCGGGGCTCTCACTTTCTAGGAAACTGGATGAGCAGCGCGACTGCCAAGACAGTCAGCAGATCAAAGAGCAGAAGTTTGTACATTTCCTGGCCCAGGACAGTCTCCCAGCACTGAAGAAGGAAGAAATATATCAGAAAGAACTCGGGACCCGGGCACCTGGAGGCCCACGCGTCCGAGTCTCCACATCGCAAGCCTATGAGACCCTGTCAATACTTTCTCTGGGGGTCCTCGTTTTTCAAACTTTCATACCCTTGGGAGAGTGTTCCAGCACCCCAAGCTCCCCTCTCCGCCCAAACCAAGAGTCTGGACCCACCCAGCTCCATCTTTCCTTCAGGGACCCAAGAGTCCCACGCACACCCATGCCGTTCTCACCGGAAGTTGTTTGTAATTGTAGCCACAGGTTTTGCAGTCCTCAGCCTCGGAGTCGCCCCCACAAGTGATCTGATTCCAGAGAGAGAAGAGCAGGACCACCAGGGAGGCGAGGCGAAGAAACACGGTCCTGAAGGGGGGAAGGCAGAGAATGGGCCCTGACCCGGTACCCACCATGTGGCAGTTCCCTTCTCAGTGGAACGCGCCCGCATTCAACCCATCTCACAGATGAAGCTGAGGCCCAGTGACAGAATCAGGATTTCTTTCTTTCTTTCTTTCTTTTTTTTTTTTTTTTTTTGAGACAGGGTCTCACTCTGTCACCCGGACTGGAGTGCAGTGGCGCGATCTCAGCTCACTGCAACCTCCACCTCCCAGGCTCGAGCCATTCTCCTGCCTCAGCCTCCCGAGTAGCTGGGACTACAGAAGCCACTACCGCCGGGCTAATATTCGTATTTTTACTACAGACGGGGTTTCATCATGTTTGTCAGGCTGGTCTCGAACTCCTGACCTCAGCCTCGGCCTCCCAAAGTGCTGGGATTACAGGTGTGAGCCACTGCACCTGGCCAACAGAGTCAGGATTTGAATCCCTGGATTCGGTATCAGCAGGATTTCCGTGTCTTACCTGTCAGCGCCAACATCCCTCTGACCGCCCCCACCCTTCATCATTCCCAGCCATCCCCGTGAGGCTGGAACCTGAGCAGGATAAAAACGATCTGGCGACTCCGAGTGTAGCCCTCCAGTGGAGCAATGAGCTTGAACACGGGCGGCAGCACAAAATTGACCCCAGCGATGAAGATGGACGGAAGGTAATTCACCCCAAGCTTCAGCAGTGGCAACTCCTGGACAAGGGGCATCTCCTGGGAGCGGGATGGACCATGAGTAGAGGCTTGGGGTCCTGGAGGAGCCAAGCTTAAGGTCCTCCCCCCGGCCTCTTCTTCTTCTTCTTCTTTTTTTTTTTTTTTTGAGACAGAGTCTCGCTCTGTTGCCCAGCCTAGAATGCAGCGGTGCGATCTCGGCTCGCTGCAACCTCTGCCTCCCGGGTTCAAGTGATTCTCCTGCCTCAGCCTCCTGAGTAGCTGGGATTACAGGCGCCCACCACCACGCCCGTCTAATTTTTGTATTTTTAGTAGAGACTGTTTTTCACCATGTTGGTCAGGCTGGTCTGGAACTCCTGACATCGTGATCCGCCCGCCTCAGCCTCCCAAAGTGCTGGGATTACAGGTGTAAGCCACCGCGCCCAGCCTCTCTTTTTCCTTTAAAATCCCTAAGTCCAGGGTCCGAACATACCCTCTCCCATACTTCCTCTCTAAGATCTCTGGCATCCCAAACTTCCGTCCCCTCCCTCCACCGTTGGAAATGTAGGTTCCAGGACCCCCTGGCTTCCTCTTCCAAGACCGTCCGCACCTGCAGCTCCACGGTGCACCCCGTAGCCCAGTAGACGCCATAGAAGGCTGCCCCCAGGAGCGCGACCACCAGCAGGTTGAGCAGCACCCGCACCAACCAAACCCTGGCTTGCTGGCCCAGCGTCCGCACCGCAGCCTGGCGCCGCACCACTGTCTCCTCCAGCTCCACCTGAAGGCAGGAGAGATGCCCGCTTGGACTCCATTTCCCAAGGCGCGGGCCTCCCGGTTCCCCAGGTCTGGCTCTCCAGAGATCCTCCTTAACGTGAACTGATGCAGCCGTCTCCCCACCCGCTAACAACCTCTGCAGTCCTGGTTCCACCCGCTCCAGGAAACCAGCGGCCCTTTACAGCCCCGCCCCTTCGCGGCCGGATCCAGCAACCCAAGCCCCCATCCCTCCGCGGTCAATCTCAGCACCCCAGGCCCCGCCCCTGAGGCTCCGCCCAGCATCCCAAGACCCGCCCCTGGTCAGCCCTGCCCATCAGAGGCTCCGCCCCCAGGTGGCCCTGCGCTTTATTCCTGGCCTGAAGTTCCAGTTCAGCTGTATCAAGACGCCCTGCTGGCCGCTCCCATCACTTAACTTTGAACCAAATTGCCTTAGGCCCCGCCCGCTTCTTGTGCTTACTTAAAAAAAAACAAACTTTTTTTTTTTTTTTTTGGTAGAGAGGGAGCCTCCCTATGTTGCCCAGGCTGGTCTCGAACTCCTAGACTGAAGCGATCCACCTGTCTCGGTCTCCCAAAGTGCTGGGGTTACAAGCATTAGCCACCGATCCCAGCCCTGGCGCATCCTTTTCCTACACGCTTGGAGCTCGGGCAGCCCTATCTCGGCCTCCTCTCAACCTTCTCATTCCCCAGGACCTGCCTTTCTTGGAGAAGGAGCTGCTTAGCATCTCTCCGGAGGCCCCATCACCGAGTTAGGCCCTGTGCGTTATCTCAGCCCGGTCCTGTCTGGTCCCTACCCAGTTGCAGACCCCGCTCCCTAATCGCACCTTTAATTCGTACAAGATGATGCGCTGGCGCAGCCGCACGTGGACGTCCCCGCAGAGACCGAAGTCCCAGGCCGAGAACACCCGGTGGCTGTAGCTGGTCAGAGCCTCGGACTCCGCCAGCAGTGTCTGCTTCAGCCCAGACACCGAGCTGAGAGGGGAGACCCGGGAGACGGGAAGTGAAAGGACAGCCAGGAACGGGGGTTATGGGGAGACCCCTCATATTGGGACAAATGGGGAAGATGAACCCTAAGGCCTTGGGTACTAGGCGAGTTCCCACCAGACCAGATGGGGAAAGAGTCAAAGAGGCGGAGACACAGTCATTGAAGGCAAAGTCCAAGGGAGATTCAGAGACAGTTCTGGGGTGCAGGCACCCCAAAGAGAGGCAGAAACCTAGGAGACAGGGACAGAGCCTCGGAGCGAAGGGGGCAGAAACCCAGAGTGAGAGAAACAGAGGCCCTGAGGAAGACAGAGATGTGGAGGAGGGACAGAGGCCCCAGAGGGAGATTCGGAGAAAGGGAGAAAAAGACAGTGAGAAAGGGGAAACTACATCTACAAAAGATGGGGGTCAAAGACCCATAAGAAGTACAGGCACACAGAGAAGGGAGCTGCGGCGGGAAGAGCCGAGAAGAAGACAGAGACCCAGAGAAGATGGCAGGTAAAGACTCAAGAGAGGGGGCAGGCCAGGCGCCATGGCTCACGCCTGTAATCCCAGCACTTTGGGAGGCCGAGGGGGGAGGATCACCTGAGGTCAGGAGTTTGAGACCAGCCTGGCCAATGTGGTGAAACCCCGTCTCTACTAAAAATACAAAAATTAGCCAGGCGTGGTGGTGCATGCCTGTAATCCCAACTACTTGGGAGGCTGAGGTGGGAGGATCACTTGAACCCAGGAGGTGGAGGTCGCCTCCAAAAAAAAAAAAAAAAAAAAAAAGACCCAGAGAAGACGGGCAGGTAAAGAGACTCAAGAGAGGGGGGCAAAGACCCAGGAAGGAGATAGAGAACCCCAGCAGGGGCAGAAACAGAACTGGACAAAGAGACCATGTGCACCTTCACTGCCCTGGCCCCGGCCCCCATCATCTCTCATGTGAACAACCACAGAGGGCCCTCACATGGTCTCCTTGCTTCCACTTGTGCCCGCATATAATCCATTCTCAGTTCTTGAGCCAGTGGGACCTTCTTTTGATGCAACTCAGACCGTATTCCCCTGTTTAAGACCTATTCCAGGGCTTTTCCCTTCTCTTAAAATCGAGGCTCTTTGCCGGGCGTGGTGGCTCACGCCTGTAATCCCAGCACTTTGGGAGACCGAGGCGGGTGCATCACCTGAGGTCAGGAGTTCGAGACCAGCCTGACAAACATGGTGAAACCCCATTTCTACTAAAAATACAAAATTAGCCGGGCATGGTGGCACATGCCTGTAATCCCAGCTACTTGGGAGGTTGAGGCAGGAAAATTGCTTGAACCCGGGCGGCGGAGGTTGCAGTGAGCTGAGATCGCACTACTGCACTCTAGCCTGGGTGACAGAGCGAGACTCCGTCTCAAAAAAAAAAAAAAGTTGACTTTTGGCCAGGCACATTGGCTCATGCCTGTAATTCCAGCACCTTGGGAGGCTGAGGTGAGCAGATCTCTTGAGCCTAGGAGTTTGAGCGCAGCCTGGGCAACATAGCAAGACCCTGTCTCTATAACATTAAAAAAAAATTTTTAGCAAGACATGGTGGTGCACCCCTGTGGTCCCAGCTGCTCCCGAGGCTGAGGTAGGCGGATCAGTTGAGTTCCGGAGGCCCAGGCTTCCGGTGAGCTATGATTGCACCACTGCACGCTAGCCGGGTGACAGAGTGAGACCCTGTCTCAAAAAACAAAACAGACTGGGTGCGGTGGCTCACACCTGTAATCCCAGCACTTTGGGAGGCCGAGGCAGGTGGATCACCTGAGATCAGGAGTTCGAGACCAGCCTGGCCAACATGGCGATACCCCGTCTCTACTAAAAATACAAAAAATTAGCTGGGCGTGGTGGCCGGAGCCTGTAAACCCAGCTACTTGGGAGGGTGAGGCAGTAGAATCGCTTGAACCCGGGAGGTGGAGGTTGCAGTGAGCCAAGATCGTGCCATTGCACTCCAGCCTGGGCGACAGAGTAAGACTCTGTCTCAAAAACAAACAAACAAAACAAATGAAAAACAAAAACAAATCCCAAAACCTTGATCTTTTTTTTTTTTTTAGATGGAGTTTCTCTCTGTCGCCCAGGCTGGAGTGCAGTGGCGCAAACTCGGCTCACTGCAAGCTCCACCTCCTGGGCCACCGCTCCTGGCCCAAAACCTTGATTTTAACTCACACAGAATAAAGGGTTACACAGCAAGACCGAGGATTCTGGGGCCGGGCGCGGTGGCTCACGCCTGTAATCCCAGCACTGTGGGAGGCCGAGGCGGGTGGATCACGAGGTCAGCAGTTCAAGACCAGCCTGACCAACATGGTGAAACCCCATCTCTACTAAAAATACAAAAAAGTTAGCTGGGCGTGGTGGCGGGCGCCTGTAATCCCAGCAACTTGGGAGGCTGAGGCAGGAGAATCGCTTGAAACCGGAAGGCGGAGGTTGCAGTGAGCCGAGATTGCGCCACTACACTCTAGCCTGGGCAATAAGAGCAAAACTCCGTCTCAAAAAAAAAAAGACTGAGGATTCTTGGGGAGGGGGTTTCTGCCACCACCACTTGCTCCCCCACCCCAACCCGTCCCGTCAGGGGTCAGGGGTGCAGGTGCCACTGACCGATGCAGGATGAGCAGGAGGCAGATGAGGCCAACGGCAAAGGCCCAGCACAGGTAGGTGACCGCCAGGCGTGGGCGGGGCGGGTAGAAGCCATAGAAGAGAGGGGACCATTCCAGGTAACCCTGTGGGGGGAAGGCGGCGCAGGGGCCACTGTGGGAGGAGGCGGGGCTCCTGGAGCTGCACAGTCAGGGTCTGGGGTCAGGGTTTGAGGTTCGTGTCATTGAAGGCACTGGGGTCACAGGTGGGCGGGGAATCCCCCAGGGACCCAGGCACCTACCTCACCCGAGAGCAAGTTGAAGAGCTGGGTGGCAAAGGTGACCAGGCCCTGGGAGTGGGGGTTATAGGAGCCGCAGGGCGAGGAGATGTCGGGGCCGGGAGGGCCTGGGGGAGCGCCTCCCAACCAGGTGGGCAGCAGCGTCATGCAGGCCATGAGCACAGAGGCCAGCACGTTAAGAAGGAGCAGGAAGCGCAGCAGGGAGAAGTAGGACTCCGTGCCGGCGCCAAACTGGCCTGCAGGGGGCAGCAGAGAGAGGCTCAGGTTCCTTCCCGGGAGCAGGACCAGCCCCTCCTACCCCTGGACTGGGGTCCAGCCGCGCCTTCCTTTCTTTCTTTCTTTTCTTTTCTTTCTTTTCTTTTCTTTTCTTTTCTTTTCTTTTCTTTTCTTTTCTTTTCTTTTCTTTTCTTTTCTTTTCTTTCTTTCCTTTCTTTCTTTCTTCTTTCTTTCCTTCCTTCCTTCCTTCCTTCCTTCCTTCCTTCCTTCCTTCCTTCTTCTTTCTCTCTCTCTCTCTCTCTCTATATATATATATATATTTTTTTTTTTTTCTTTTCTTTTCTTTTCTTTTTTTTTTTTTGAGACGGAGTTTCGCTCTGCCGCCCAGCATGGAGTGCAGTGGCGCGATCTCGGCTCACTGCAACCTCCGCCTCCTGGGTTCAAGCAATTCTCCTGTCTCAGCCTCACGAGTAGCTGGGATTACAGGCGTGCGCCACCATGCTCAGCTAGTTTTTGTATTTTTGGTAGAGACGGGGGTTTCACCATGTTGGTCAGGCTGGTCTCGAATTCTTGACCTCAGGTGATCCACCCACCTCGGCCTCCCAAACTGTTGGGATTACAGGCGTGAGCCACCGCGCCAGGCCCAGCCGTGCCTTTCTCAGACCCAAGAGTCCAGACCCCCAGCCCCTCCTCCCTCAGACCCAAAAATCCAGGCCCAAGCCCCTCCTCCCTCAAACCCAGGAGTCCGTCCCCAGCCCCTCCTCCCTCAGACCCAGGAGTCCAGGCCCTGCCCCCAGGACACCACCCAAACCCCACCGCACCCCCGATCCTCTTCAGTGTCCACGCCCAGGGCTGCAGGCTTCGCAAGCCTTCCTTTGTTTTCTCCTTGGACCTCCGAAGTAGCCGCGCCCATCGGTCCGTCTTAGTTCCAGAGCCATAGACCACCTGGTCCCTGCTGGCATTTCTTTGCCTGGGAGGGAAACAGGCAGAAAATGAGGGGTTTCGCAGCCCCAGACTGGGAACCATCTGAATGTAGACACAATCCAACAGTAGAATGGAGAAGTAAATTGTGGCCTATACATAAGATAGAATACTCTGTAGCAATAAAAAAGAAACCAGCTGGGTACAGTGGCTCAGGCCTGTAATCCCAGCACTTTGGGAGGCCGAGGTGGGTGAATCACCTGAGGTCAGGAGTTCGAGACCAGCCTGACCAACATGGTGAAATCCTGTCTCTACTAAAAATACCAAAAAAAAAAAAAAATTAGCTGGGCCTGGTGGCGGGTGCCTGTAATCCCAGCTACACGAGAGGCTGAGGCAGGAAAATTGCTTGAACCTGGGAGGTGGAGGTTGCAGTGAGCTGAGATGGCGCCATTGCATTCCAGCCTGGGTGACGGAGTGAGATTCCAAGAAAGGAAAGAAAGAAAGAAAAGAAAGAAACCTAATGCTAGGCAGAAGAAGCCAGCACAAAAGACTGAAGACTGTATGATTCTATTTGCACAACGTTGCAGAGCACAGCTTGCAAAGCTCTACAGAAAAGCAGGAGGCTGGAGTGGGAGGATCGCTTGAGCCCAGGTGTCGGAGGCTGCAGTGAGCTGAGACTGCACCACTGCACTCCAGCCTGGGCATCAGAGCAAGACTCTGTCAAAAAAAAAAAAAAAGGTTAGGGAGAAGAGGTTACCTTGTATTTGTGAGGAAAAAGGGGGTGTCAGGGGAGGGACGCACAGGGTGCTGTCATGCCGTGTCACTTGCCCTAGCTGGAGTTTATCTGGGCTCTCACTTTATGAATACAGCCATCCCTCAGTATCCATGGGGGTTGGTTCAAGGACTCCCCAAGAATACTGAAATCTGTAGATGCCCAAATTCCTTATATAAAACGGTATAGTATTTGCATACAGGCTACACACATCCTCCTGTGTTTATTTTATTTTATTTTAATTTTTATCTGATTTTTACAGACAAATGTCTCGTTTTGTTGTCCAGGCTGGAGTGCAGTGGTGCAATCATAGCTCAATGCAGCCTCAAACTTCCAGGCTCAAGCAATTCTCCCACCTCAGCCTCCCAAAGCGCTGGGGCTACAGGTATGGGCCACGACACCCAGCCCTCCAATGCACTTTAAATCACCTCTAGATTACTTATAACACCCGGTACAAGGTAAATGTTATATAGATAGCTGTTCTTTTAACTTGTATTATTTTTTGTCATATTGTTACTTTGATTATTACTTTTAAAAAATAGAGATGGGGGTCTCGCTATGTTACTCAGGCCGCAGTATAGTGGCTATATTCACAGGCATGATCCCACTACTGATCGGTGTGGGAGTGTTGATACATTGTTATTTTTTATTGTTTTTTCCATATATATACACATATATATACATATATATGTGTATATATATACACACATATGCATATATATACGCATATATATTTGAGATGGAGTCCCGCTCTATCACCCAGGCCGGAGTCCAATGGCACGATCTTGGCTCACTGCAACCTCTATCTCCCTGGTTCAAGCGATTCTCCTGCTTCAGCCTCCCGAGTAGCTGGGATTACAGGCACCCGCCACCACACCCAGCTAATGTTTGTATTTTTAGTAGAGTTGGGGTTTTGCCATGTTGGCCAGGCTGGTCTCGAACTCCTGACCACAGGTGATCCACTCGCCTGGGCCTCCCAAAGTGCTGGGATTACAGGTGTGAGCCACTGCAATGGGCCCATAATCATTTTTGAAGGAGGGCACCTGCATTTTCATTGTTCACCAGGCCCTGCAAATTATGCAGTGAGAATGGGAAAAGAAAGAAGTTAAAGAGAGGGAGGCTTGGAAGAGGAGGCAAAGATGAAGGAAGGTATAAAGCAGAGAGAAATAAATATTAACAGATTTTGGACACACACACAGAGAGAAACTGAGGCAGAGACAGGATTGGTGGAGACCAGGGAGACGGCAAATCCCAGAGAGAAGAGACCCCAGAGCCATCGAAAGGCAGCACTCACCTGGAGTCCGAAGTAGAGACAAAGATGAGGGGAAGAAAGAAACCAAGAGAGGCAGCTCTGAGCGGGGCAGAGAGAGGCCCCAGAAGCCAGGAGCGGCAGAGGACAGAGGGAGGAGACCGAGTCCAGGGTATGGGAGAAGGGCCCGGTCCGGGCTGTGCGGGTCCCAGCTGGAGGTGGGGCCTCACCTGTATGCCCGTCTGGCCTGCATGGGCCAGGGCAGTTCCCGGGAAGGGTGAGGGTCCTGCAGCTCTGTCTGGGTGACTTCTGTGAAGGCCTTTCTGCTCCTTCCTCCATCCTCCTCCTCCTCCTCCAGCGCCCCCCAAGGCAGCACCCCAGGGTCTCGGTACCGAAGGGTGGCAGCACTGGGCAGCTCGTTCAGCACAGAAGACAGCGATGGGCCTGGGGAGGAGCAGGGGGCTGGGAAGACCCGGGAGTCTGGGCCCTAATTCCTCCTCCCTCAGACCAGGAAACCAGGTCCCCGGCCCCTCCTCCCTCAGACCCAGGAGTCCAGGCCCCCGGCTCCTCCTCCCTCAGACCCAGGAGTCCAGGCCCCCGGCTCCTCCTCCCTCAGACCCAGGAGTCCAGGCCCCCGGCTCCTCCTCCCTCAGACCCAGGAGTCCAGGCCCCCGGCTCCTCCTCCCTCAGACCCAGGAGTCCAGGCCCCCGGCTCCTCCTCCCTCAGACCCAGGAGAACAGGCCCCCGGCCCCTCCTCCCTCAGACCCAGGAGTCCAGGCCCCCGGCTCCTCCTCCCTCAGACCCAGGAGAACAGGCCCCCGGCCCCTCCTCCCTCAGACCCAGGAGTCCAGGCCCCCGGCTCCTCCTCCCTCAGACATAGGAATCCAGGCACCCAGCCCCTCCTCCCTCAGACCAGGAAACCAGGTTCCCAGCCCCTCCTCCCTCAGGCCCAGGAGTCCGGGTGCCAGCCTCTACTTCCCCTGGACCCAGGGGTCCACAGCCCTCAACTCCATCCCCAAGCGTGGAACCCTCCTACTCCAGGGCAGTGGAGTCCAGGCTTTAACTTCCTTTTCCCTCTAGCTCAGGAGTGTGGGAACCCAGCCTCTCCTATTCCCAAGACACCCAAACTCCCAGCCCTTAGCCCTCCCCTCCTCCCAGACTAGCCTGGTTCTCCAGGCTCCTCCTCCTCAGACCCTGGAGTTCCAGCCTCCAGTTCCCTTCTCCCCCATAATATCAGGAAGTGGAACCTTCTCTCTTTAGCCCTCAGACTCAGGAGGCCAGGCCTCCCCTTTCCTCCTCCAGCAGGACTCCCACCTAGCCTGAAGGTCGGATGGATCTGAGCTTCTCCTGGCATTCCCTACCTCCTCTGGCCTCCCGGGGGGCCAGCCACTCCCTAGAGGAGCCCCAGGCTTCTGATTCCAAGGTCGGGTTTTCTTCCATGGCCCCAGGCTGGGCTGTCTCTAGTGGCCACCAGGCAGACACTGCCCCAGGTAAGGGAGGGGCCAGGGGCAGGTGTGTACCTGGCCAGCAGGTGGCCCGGAGGGAGTAAGGTACACTTCCTGTGGTTTCTCAGGGCCGCTGATGCGAAAGGTCTCCTGGGAGCTGAAGTCCCCGTGGTGCCCCGGGCCTCACAGTTTGGTTCCTGGGCTGGGCGGGGGGGCTGTACCTCACCCTGGGACTTGGTGGACTAAGTCCTTCCCACCGTTTATCACCCAGATACCTGCACGGACACGATGCCTTTGTGCAACACTTTATTGGGAAAGATTTACACACGGTGACCTGTCATAGGCCAAGCTATGAGAAGAGGGCGCCAGGAGTGCTGGGGTCCCGAGGTGGCTCAGATGGAAGCCATGGGACGGCCGTCCCCAGGCCCGCGCACCCGCACCTCAGTTTCCCCTTTGTGAAATGGGAAGCTTATGCTTCCTTCCAAGTCTGCAATATTGGTGCGATGAGCTAAAAGTGGAGCGAAAGACACAAGGAAGAGGCTTCCCACTCCCAGGACCTGCCCCCAAGCTCCGACCCCACATTGTGGATGCAAAGAAAGGGAATTTGCCCAAAACCCACTGCCCAGGGGCCCCTTCCGTTTTGGGGAAGTGCAGTGCTCTCTGGATACCCAGAAGCTGGAGCAGGGGCCAGTGACTCTTGTCTGGACAATACTTTGATTTTGTAGGAGTGGAGGTGGCCTCTGGGCAGAGGGCAGGGAGGACACCCCCGGGTCTGCTTCAGTTGCAGGCAGGGTATTTAGCTGGGGAAGAGGAAATTCTCTCCAGGACCCTCTCCAAGGTAAGGACTCTTTCTGGGGAGGAGACAGCAGCCTGGTTCACAGAATTCCCGGGACCAGCTGGCAGAGGGAGCGTCGTGACAGCTTACTCCTCCCGGAGCTTCTCCGGGGCAAGGCTGGTGGGCTGGGATGCTGCCTTCCGCCGGCTGGGGCTGCCCCCACCTAAAGCCAGCCCCAGCCCCAGGGCTGCCAGGGCCAGGAAGTGGATACAGAAGTAGATGGAGGCCCAGTACCGAAGGGTGTCAGCCAAGGAGAGCAGCACGAAGCCCATGCACATGTAGTCATAGGCGCGCATCTTCAGGAACCAGTGCACCCAGTCCCAGGCCTTCTGGCCCCCTGGGCTCAGCCGCCCCCGCAGGGCTGACTCCAGCCGGCCCTCGGCAGCCAGGCACAGCGGGATGGTCAGGAAGCTCAGGTAGTAGCCCGGGTGGAGGCCGTGCCAGTAGGCGCTCAGCAGCATGGTCCAGGCGCTCCTGAGGAGGAGGCTGGGAGTCAGGACCTACGAGTCCAGGTCCCCAGTGCCCACTGCCCCCAGATCCAGGAGTCCAGGACCCCAGCCCCTCCTCCCTCAGACCGAGAAGTGCAGGCCCAGCCCCTCCTCCCTCAGACCCAGGAGTCCAGACCCCACCCCTTCCTCCCTCAGACCCAGGAGATCAGGCCCCAGTCCCTCCTCCCTCAGACCCAGGAGACCAGACCCCACCTCCCTCCTCCCTCAGATCCAGGAGTCCAGACCCCACTTCCCTCCTCCCTCAGATCCAGGAGACCAGACCCCACCTCCCTCCTCCCTCAGATCCAGGAGACCAGGCCCCAGGCCCTCCCCACTCAGACCCATGACCCTAGCTCCGGAAGGCGGAGGAGGCTACAGGCCTCTGTCTCCTTCAGGGATCCAGGAGCTCGCAGCCTTCCATACACACTCAGTCCTATCAAGACCCTCTTCTTCTTTAAAGATTTAACATTTTATATTCCACTGCCCTTCCTCTCCCAGGACCAACAAGTCTTAATTCTTCAGCCCAGTGGTTTTTTTTTTTTTTTTTTTGAGACAGAGTCTCGCTCTGTCGCCCAGGCTAGAGTGCAGTGGCGCGATCTTGGCTCACTGCAAGCTCCGCCTCCCAGGTTCACGCCATTCTCCTGCCTCAGCCTCCCGAGTAGCTGGGACTACAGGCGCCCGCCACCACGCCCGGCTAATTTTCTTTTCTATTTTTAGTAGAGACGGGGTTTCACCGTGTTAGCCAGGATGGTCTCGATCTCCTGACCTCGTGATCTGCCCGCCTTGGCCTCCCAAAGTGCTGGGATCACAGGTGTCAGACACCACACCCGGGCAGCCCGGTGGTTCTTAACCTGGGGTCCCAGGTCTGGCATCAGCATCACCTGAGAACTTGTGAGACATACAAATCCTTGTCCCCACCCCTTTTGCACCAGAAGCCCTGGGGGTGGGGCCCAGGAGAAGTCTTCCAAGTTAACAAGTCCTCCAGTGACTCTGATGCCTGTTAACATTTGACAACTCCTGCCTGGCTCATGAAGATCCAGAAGTCCCTGGCCTGTGGTCCTTCCTTATTCTGGGCCCAGGAGATATGTTCCTCTTCCTCCAAGGCCCAGCACCATCTTTCCTCACTCTTTTTATTTTTTTGGAGACAGAGTCTCGCTCTGTTGCCACACGACAAGGCTCACTGCAGCCTCTGCCTCTTGGATTCAAGCGATTCTTATGCCTCAGCCTCCCAAGTAGCTGGGATTACAGGCAAGCGCCACCAAACTCAGCTAATTTCTGTATTTTTTGTTGTTGTTGTTCAGACGGAGTCTCGCTCTGCCGCCCATGCTGGAGTGCAGTGGCGCAATCTCGGCTCACTGCAACCTCTGCCTCCCGGGTTCAAGTGATTCTCCTGCCTCAGCCTCCCGAGCAGCTGGGACTACAGGTGCCCACCACCATGCCAGGCTAATTTTTGTATTTCTGGTAAAGACGGGGTTTCACCATGTTGGCCAGGATGCTCTCAATCTCTTGACCTTGTGATCCACCCGCCGTGGCCTACCAAAGTGCTGGGATTACAGGCGTGAGCCACTGCACCCAGCCATTTTTGTATTTTTAGTAGAGATGGGGTTTCACCACGTTGGCCAGGATGGTCTCGATCTCCTGACCTTGTGATCCACCCACCTTGGCCTCCCAAAGTGCTGGGATTACAGGTCTGAGCCACCGCGCCCAGCCTCTTTTTTTTTCTTTGTAAAGATGGAGTCTTGCTATGTTGACCTGGCTGGTCTCGAACTCCTGAGCTTAAGTGATCCTCTCACCTTGGCCTCCCAAAATACTGGAATTACAGATGTCAGCCATTGCACCTGGCCAACTCTTGTTTTCTTGAGAAGGGAGGACCATTGGCTTTCTGGTTCTTCAAGAGTGCGGAGGCTGGGTGCAATGGCTGGCACCTGTAATCCCAGCACTTTAGGAGGCTAAAAATACAAAGATTAGTCTGTCATGGTAGCACGTGCCTATAATCCCAGCTACTAGGGGGGCTGAGACAGGAGGATTGCTTGAACCTGGGAGGGAGAGGTTGCAGTGAGCCGAGATCACGCCACTGCACTTGAGCTGTAAAATAAACAAAAACGATGGATCCTGTGCATTTTAAGGTGTTTAGGAGCATCCCTGGCCCCCACCCACGACATCCGACTAGCACCTTCCAGTTACAACAACATGTCTCCAGGGATTGCCATGTGTCTCCTGGGGGTGCAGCAGCAGCACAGTTGCCCCCAGTTGAGAAGCACTTGTCTAAACACTGGGGTGCTTTGACCTGGCCTCAGCCCCAGAGCTTTAAGCGTCATCTATACCTGGCCAGATGCAGTGGCTCATGCTTGTAATCTCAGCACTTTGGGAGGCTGAGATGGGAGGACTGCTTGGGGCCAGGAGTTTGAGACCAGCCTGGTCAACACAGTGAGACCTCATCTCTATACATTTTTTAAAAAGTAAAAAAAAAATAATAATAATACTTAAAAAATTTTGGCCGGGCATGGTGACTCACGCCTGTAATCCCAGCACGTTGGGAGGCCGAGGCACGCGGATCACTTGAGGCCAAGAGTTCGAGACCAGCCTGGCCAACATGGTGAAACCCTGCGTCTACTCTTGGCACGAGAATCACTTGAACCCAGGAGATGGAGGTTGCAGTGAGCTGAGATCACAACACTGCACTCCATCCTGGGTGACAGAGCATCAAAATACTAATACTAATACTAATACTAATACTAATACTAATACTAATAATAATATCCTTCTTACTCCCAAAACTTACCCTTCCTGGGTCTTCCCCTTCCACATTTATCTAATTAAATTAAATTAAATTAATAATTATTTTTGTTTGTTTTTTGTGTTTTTTTGTTTGTTTGTTTTTGAGACAGAGTCTCGCTCTGTTGCCCAGGCTGGAGTGCAGTGGCGCGATCTCGGCTCACTGCAAGCTCCGTCTCCCGGGTTCACACCATTCTCCTGCCTCAGCCTCCCCAGTAGCTGGGACTACATGCACCCGCCGCCACACCCGGCTAATTTTTTGTATTTTTAGTAGAGACAGGGTTTCACCGTGTTAGCCAGGATGGTCTTGATCTCCTGACCTTGTGACCCACCCACCTTGGCCTCCCAAATTGCTGGGATTATAGGCATGAGCCACCGTGCCCGGCCTATTTTATTTTATTTTGAGACAAAGTCTCTCTCTGTTGCCCAGGTGACCTTGGCTCACCGCAACCTCCGCCTCCCGGGTTCAAGTGATTCTCTTGCCTCAGCCTCCCTAGTAGCTGGGATTATAGGCGCCCGCCACCATGCCTAGCTAATTTTTTGTATTTTTAGTAGAGAAGGGGTTTCTCCATATTGCCCAGGCTGGTCTTCACCATATTGCCCTGACCTCAAGATGATCCACCTGCCTGGGCCTCCCAAACTGCTGGGATTACAAGTGTGAGCCACCATGCCTGGCTATGAGTTCTACTTCTGTTTTTTTTTTTTTTTTTTTTTTTTTTTTTTTTTGAGACGGAGTCTCGCTGTCGCCCAGGCTGGAGTGCAGTGGCGAGATCCCAGCTCCCTGCAACCTCTGCCTCCCGGGTTCAAGCCATTCTCCTGCCTCAGCCTCCCGAGTAGCTGGGACTACAGGCGCCCACCACCACACCAGGGTAATTTTTTGTATTTTTAGTAGAGACAGCATGTCACCATGTTGGTCAGGCTGGTCTCGAACTCCTGACCTCATGATCCACCTGCTTGGGCCTCCCAAAGTGCTGGGATTCCAGGCGTGAGCTGCCGCACCCGGCTGAGTTTCTGCTTCTAAAGGCTGCACAGATAACAGTGTCAAGCACAGAGTCTCCACTCGAGAAATATTGGAAGAATGAAAAACAATAAAAATGAATACACAGCACGCACTTACCTGTCAGGCCTCACATTAAATACATTTCACATTTTATCACATTTAGTCCTTCTATCTACCTATGAAACCAGTAATAAATAGCATTCACTCCATTCAACACTTGAGGCAACTAAGAGGTCAACTAACTCCTCAAGGTTTCTCCATAACCTGGACGGCCAAGATTCCAGGAAGGCTGGCTATTGAGTCCACAGGACTCAGTACATTGCTTCTGCTGAGTGAGGCTGACTTTACAGAAGTAGCAACTGAGGCCCCGAGAGGGGGAACGATTTTACACCGGCATGCTGCCACTATAATTAGAGGCAGGGCAAAACCAGGCTAAACAAACTACAATTCCCATGAGCCTCCGGGGGCAGGGGCCCAGCCAGGGACGCTGCAGGCTACCCTGGGGCCTGCTGGGAGATGTAGTTCTGCAGTGTCACCTGAGACTGGGCGGGCTCACTCACCGCAGGACATAGGAACGGGCAGGTGCGCTCTTGTAGATATACTGCGCCAGCCACCACTGCACCGTCATGTTCCAGTACCGCATGCCATCGCGCACCCGCACGCAGAAATCTGTGCTGTAGCAGTCGATGTTGCGGATGGTCTCATAGTCATACTCCAAGGAAGCCGCCTTCTCCGGACTGGGGGGTGGAGGATGAGGGTGGGGGACAGACATGCAGCTCAGCCAGGCCCCCTCCCGACGCCTGCTAGTGTCCCAGCCCCGGATGCTAAGGAAGGGATCCTGGCCAGGCAATGGCCCTCTGGCTGTCAGACTTGCTAGGGCAGCAAGGGAGGGTGGCCCAGAGGGTGCCTGTAGGGTAGGAAGGTGGGTGGGCTGGGTGGTACAGTTCACTGACAATGGGGTTCTTCTTCTTTTGGTACCTAATGGGGCCCGCCACAGCCATGAAAAGCCTTGAAGGGCTATGGTTGCTAAGCTATGAGTCCTTTAGCAACCAAGCTCAGTATATTCAGAGAAGCCGCCAAGGATGGTCCCTTCTAAATTGTCGGACACTGCAGTTGCCAGGGAAGTTGTGGTTATCATCCCTAATAACAAGGTGCTTCACGGTTGCTAGGGAGATGTTCCAGGCGCCAGTGGGGTCCCCATGATCTTTGTTGCTAAGGAAAAGGCATTCCTTAGCAACAATGCCTAGGATGTTTAGAAAGGCTTTTAGGAAGGGGCTTTTTTCCTGGTCGCAGTGATTATTGGAGAAGTGTCACCTCTAGCAATACAGTGGCTCCCTCATCACTCATGTCGACAGCCCCAGCAGTGGGAAACACTGGCCCATATGAAGCCTTGGTGGCCTCTGATGACAGGAGGGGAGCCATCCTTTAGGAGTGAGGACCGAGCAGATTTAGAAAAACCTTCAATTCCTGCTTGGCTTTACTAGGGGGACATCCTCTCTCTAGCAGCTGGAGGTCAGGGCACGGTTATTAGGGCAGTGGTAACAAATTCCCGTGGGGGTGTCACTACCCCCACAACAGAATGGCAGTTTGTGACGACTAGGGGACAACCCTAGCAGGGAGTAGTAGTTCATCATTTACATCAACAGGCTGTTCCCCCAGCCGCAGTCCAAGCCCCTGGGGGAAGGCTGACTGCAGCTGTCAGGAACACAAGGGCAGTCTACTCCTGGTTGCCGGGGGTGCCATCTCCCTAGCAACACGGGGGCAATACTTCCTCAGCCACAAGAGAGTCCACAGCTATGGCCGTGCGACTTGCCTAGCAATGCAGGTGCCGGGGGGTGGAGCCTCTCTGGCAACAAGGGTCAACCCATAGTTTCCAGGGGGAGGTTTGGCTTCCTTAGCAACAGTGTAACTGTAGTTGGTAGGAATGGCGTGCCCTCTGCTGGGGAACAGCACTGGTCAGGGATTGGAAATTGCTATTTCCTTGCAGAGGGCTGCTGAGGGCTGCTATGTGAGGACATCCCACGGGGTGGAGCAGTGCTAGCTCCTAGCAACAAAGGGGCAGTGCAGGGAGTGCCGTATCTGCAGCAACAGAGCAAAACTTCTGGTAAAAAGGAGGTGAGCTACTGTTGCTAGGGATCCTGCTTCCCTAGCAAATAGTGGCGTTCTGTTGCTAGGGAACCGTTTCCCTAGCAACAGAGGGTGACCCACCACTAGCAAAGGATGGCATCCCCAGCAAGCAGGAACAATCTGGTTCTGGGGGGTGACACTTCTGTGGCAACAGAGGGGTGGCACAGGGTTGCTAAGTTACCACCTTTTCCTAGCGACAGGGGGCAGTTCACCACACTGCGGGGTGACAAGCGCTAGCAACAAGGGGCATCTGTCAGTACCAGGGATCTTTTCCCTACCGACAGGGGCTGGCAGGCCATGGTTGCCGAGGGGGCGACACTCTGCTCAAAAAGGTGGTGGCCCTGGCCCCTTGCTCCCCGCTCTCCTCCCGGCTAGGGGCAGAGCCAGCCCTTGGAGGTGGGGGCTGCTGGGTCTTGGGAAGCCTCCCTCGCGCCGCCTGACCTGCTGGGGGGTGGGCATTGGAGGGTGGGGCCGCCTCCGGCCCGGGCTTTGGCGGCCACGGGGTAGGCCCCAAAGCCGGCGGCAATGCAGCCGCACTCGGCGGCAATCCAGGCCACGTAGAAGCGCATGCGGAAGGCGAAGAAGACGGGGATCATGTAGAAGAGGCGGGCGGGCAGCGGGCGGGCGTAGAAGGCGTCCTCGCGCACGGCCTCCAGCGGGAAGAGGTGAGAGGAGAGCAGGAACAGCAGGCCGAAGAGCGGGGCCGGCCAGGCGCGGCGCAGCAGGGGCCGCAGGCTGGGCACTGCCCCGGGGAAGGGCTGCTCCAGCCAGTCCAGGTAGGTGCGGTAGCGGAAGAACGGGCCTGTGGGGCGGGGAGGGAGGGCCGCGGTCAGACAGGCAGGTGGGCAGAGCTCAAGTCTGCAGGAGGAGGACAGGGAGCTTGGAAGGAAGGTGGGAAGAGGGAGTGAGAGGGGCAGAGACTGGGCGCCGGGGAGACCCCAAGGGTAGGGACTGAGACCCTGAGAGATGGGGATAAGGAACGAGAGACAGGGGGGACAAGAAACTCAGAGAGACAGAGACAGTAACAGAAAAACAGACAGAGGGGCCGGTGCGGTGGCTCACACCTGGAATCCCAGCACTTTGGGAGGCCTAGCTGGGAGGACTGCTTGAGCCCAACAGTTGGACAGCAGCCTGGGCAAAACGGCAAGACCCCATCACTACAAAAAATAAAAATCAGCCAGGTGTGGAGGGCACCTGAATTCCCAGCTACTGGGGAGGCTGAGGCGGGAGGATCGTTTGAGCCCAGGCTGCAGTGAGCAGTGACTGAGCTACTGCATTCCAGCCAGGGAGGGAGGGAGGGAGGGAGGGAAGGAGTGAAGAAGGGAAGAAAGAAGGGAGGGAAGGAGGGAAGGAAGGAGGGAGGGAAGGAGGGAAGGAAGAAGGGAGGGAAGGAGGGAAGGAAGGAGGGAGGGAGGGAAGGAGGGAAGGAAGGAGGGAGGGAAGGAGGGAAGGAAGGAGGGAGGGAGGGAAGGAGGGAAGGAAGGAGGGAGGGAAGGAGGGAAGGAAGAAGGGAGGGAAGGAGGGAAGGAAGGAGGGAGGGAGGGAAGGAGGGAAGGAAGGAGGGAGGGAGGGAAGGAGGGAAGGAAGGAGGGAGGGAGGGAGGGAAGGAGGGAAGGAAGGAGGGAGGGAAGGAGGGAAGGAAGGAGGGAGGGAAGGAAGGAGGGAGGGAAGGAGGGAAGGAAGGAGGGAGGGAAGGAAGGAGGGAAGGAAGGAGGGAAGGAAGGAGGGAGGGAAGGAAGGAGGGAGGGAAGGAAGGAGGGAGGGAGGGAGGGAAGGAGGGAAGGAAGGAGGGAGGGAAGGAGGGAAGGAAGGAGGGAGGGAAGGAAGGAGGGAGGGAAGGAGGGAAGGAAGGAGGGAGGGAAGGAAGGAGGGAAGGAAGGAAGAAGGGAAAAGGGAAGGACGGAGGGAAGGAGGAAGGAAAGAAACTAGGAGATAGCTGTGGCACTTTAGCTACAATATGATGGTGGTCTGGCCTAGGGAGGAAGCAGTGTGATTCACAGAAGGGACCGGGGTTAAAATTTTTATATGTTCACAAAGGCCGTATGTTTAGGTCAATGTAGCATGGGAAGATAAAAGGAAAAAAAAAACAAATTAAAATAAATAAATAAGACCACATGTTGTATGATTCCATTTGTAAGCGCAATGTCCAGAACAGGCAAATCTTTACAGATAGAAAGTCAATTACTGGTTACCAGGGATGGATGGAGGTTTGTGGGATGATGGACATGGGGTTTCTTTGCAGGGTATGAAACTGTTCTGAATATAACTACACAATGGTCATGTCTGCACAACTCGGTGAATATACTAAAAATCAGGGAGTTGTATGTTTTGTGTTTTTTTTTTTTTCCAGGAAATTAAAGAAGCCAAGAGTTGTATGTTTTAAGTGGATGAGTATGTGAATTAGAGTTCCCTAAAGCTGTTATTGGAAAAAAAACCTTTGATGAGGTAAACATTAATGAAAAATATTTTCTTTTTAAAATTTCACATATATATACACATACACACATACATATATATACACACATGCACACACACATACATATGTATTTTTTGAGATGGAGTCTTGCTCTGTTGCCCAGGATGGAGTGCAGTGGTGTGATCTTGGCTCACTGCAAACTCCGTCTCGTGGGTTCAAGCGATTCTCCAGTTTCAGCCTCCCAAGTAGCTGGGATTACAGGCACACACCACCATGCCCGGCTAATTTTTGTATTTTCAGTAGAGACGGGGTTTCACCATGTTGGCCAGGCTGGTCTCAAACTCCTGACCTCAGGTGATCTGCCTGTCTCAGCCTCCCAAAGTGCTGGGATTACAGGCGTGAGCCACTGCGCCCGGCCCTTTTAATTTTATATTTATTTATTTTTTAAAAATAAAGGTTTAAAATAAAGGGACGGGATCTTGCTATGTTGGCCAAGTTGATCTTGAACTTTTGGCCTCAAGCAATCCTCTCGCCTCAGCCTCCGAAAGTGCTAGGATTATAGGCATAAGCCCCCACGCCCAGATGAAAAATATTTCCTTAAGCTGAAAGTGGACCCTAAGCCGTGAATATTTGTTGTCTGGGAAGCAAAAACATCAGGTTGACATAGATCTTTACCTCCTTTATCTCTTCTCTTTGCTCCCAATACGCTACAAGGAGAAGAGCAAGGAATTGCTTAGGTTGAGACAGCCAGCTTCTACCCCAAAGCAGCTCTGGTCCAGCGGAGGTGTGAGACGTAGACCCAGACACATGCCCACCCTCACAGCAGCAGATGCTAGGATGGAGGTTGCCCTGGGCAGGGCGGGAACACAGAACAGGCACTCAGGGCGGAAGGGGACACAGGAGACAGAGCGGCAGAGTTGTTAGGGCAGCCCCACTCACCTGTCATGATTCCCACGTAGCAGTAGCTGTAGCTGAGTGTCTCCATCAGGGAGGGCACGTCGGGCAGCAGCCCCAGGGTGGGCCCCTTGCTGAAGCCTGAGGCCATTTCCTTCCTCTGGGCCAGATGCAGGTCCTGGACTTCACTGGCCAGGCTCACCAGCTGGGCAGAAGGGGGTGGGCAAGGGGCCAGGTCAGACTCTGGGCCCTTCCCCACACCCATCTCCCTTGCGCGGCTGCCCTCGGCAGCCAAGGGGTGCTGGGTGCCCGCAGCTCTGCCCATCTAGGTTGTGTGTAACGCCTCTAGCTGGGCGGTGTTCCCCAGGGCTCAGTCCCAGGCCCTCCTCCCCTTTCCCTGTTCTGTGCTTACCTGCTCTCACGCAATCACGGAGGTTTCGATACTATCCACACGCTGAGGACGCCCAAACGCTACCCCAGCCCCAGACCTATCCAATCAAGTGGCTTATTGGCATTTATACTCGGATGTCTCCAGGCACCCCAAACGCACTGGAAACGGAACATGATGTTACCCACCCCACAAGGTAGACCCTCTTCTAGTGTCTCCCCTCAAACAACAGGCCACCAAATTGTTCAAGCCAAAAATCTCCCTCACTCCCCAAATCCGATCCTTTAATCTCTCTCTCTTTTTTTTTTTTTTTTTTTTGAGACAAGTTTTGCTCTGTCACCCAGGCTGGAGTATACTGGTGTGATCTCGGCTCACTGCAACCCCCACCTCCTGGGGGCGCAAGCAATTCTCATGCCTCAGCTGGCCAGGCTGGTCTCGAACTCCTGGCCTCAAGTGATCTGCCCGCCTTGAAATCCCTTAAGTTTGAGTCTGTTGCCTCTTTCCATCTCCACTACTGAGCTGAATATGTTGTACTCTCCACCCTTTCCCACCAGTCCCAAGGTCCACCCTATATCAATAGATCTCCTTCTTCCAGCTTGTGGCTGGGTTGTCAGTAGAAATCCCTGGCTGGAGACAAAGTCAGGAGAGGGAGGGTAGGGCTTTTATTCCCTTGTAAGATGGCCTTGGGCTGGCTGTCACCCTTGATAGATCATTTCAAGGTGGGTGGCTCTACACACCCTTTAAAAAAAATAATTTTGGCCGGGCGCGGTGGCTCACGCCTGTAATCCCAGCACTTTGGGAGGCCGAGGCAGGCGGATCACCTGAGGTCGGGAGTTCGAGATCAGCCTGACCAACATGGAAAAACCCTGTCTCTACTAAAAATACAAAAAATTAGCCGGGCATGGTGGTGAGTGCCTGTAATTCCAGCTACTCGGGAGGCTGAGGCAGGAGAATCGCTTGAACCTGGGAGGCGGAGGTTGCGGTAAGCCAAGATCGTACCATTGCACTCCAGCCTGGGCAACAGGAGTGAAACTCCGTCTCAAAAAAAAAAAAAAAAAATTTAGGGCCAGGTGTGACGGCTCACACCTATAACACTAGCACTTTGGTTGGCCTAGGCAGGCAGATCACTTGATGTCAGGGGTTTGAGACCAGCCCGGCCAACATGGTGAAACCCCATCTCTACTAAAAATATAAAAATTAGCAAGGCGTGGTGGTGGGCGCCTGTAGTCCCAGCTACTCGAGAGGCTGAGGCAGGAGAATCGCTCGAACCCGAGAGGCAGAGGTTGCAGTGAGATCACACCACTGCACTCCAGCCTGGGCAACAGAGCGAGACTCCATCTTTAAAAATAAATAACATTTAAAAAATTAATTTTTTGTAGAGACAGGGTCTCACTATATTGCCCAGGCTGGTCTTAAACTCCTGGCCTCCAGCAGTCCTCCCACTATGACCTCCCAAAGCGCTGGGATTATACAAGTATGAGCCACTGCACCAGGCCTACACAACCCTTTTTCCATCCAGGTACCACAACCTGACCCATTTCCCCTGGGCCTAGGGTTGGGAACGGCTCCTTCTGCCGGGCTGGGGTTCAGGCACCATCCCTTCTTGCTCTTCTACATCCTGCCCAATTGGTGGCCACTCCTTCAGTCATCCTAAATGCGCGTTTCCTGCTGCAACTCAGACCTACCCACAGCCAGCCAACGGCCTGTATCAAGCCACCACAGTTTGTCACCTGGACTCGGACAAAGGAGGATCCCTTTATCTGAGTCCATCCCATCTTGCCCTGTTCCACTTCAATTCTCCTTCAGCATCCAGAACGAGTTTTCTTTCTTTTCTTTTCTTTTTTTTTTGAGATGGAATCTTGCCCGGGAAGGCCCAGGCTGGAGTGCAATGGCGGGATCTTGGCTCACTGCAACCTCCACCTTCCAGGTTCAAGCAATTATCCTGCCTCAGCCTCCTGAGTAGCTGGGATTACAGGTGTGAGCCACCACACCCGGCTCATTTTTGTATTTTTAGTAGAGACGGAGTTTTACCATGTTGGCCAGGATGGTCTCAAACTCCTAACCTCAGGTGATCTACCCGCGTCAGCCTCCCAAAGTGCTGGGATTACAGGCGTGAGCCACCCGCAGCTGGCCTAGAATGAGTATTTCTATTTGTTTATTTATTTTTGAGATGGAGTTTTGCTCTTGTTGCCCAGGCTGGAGTGCAATGGTACGATCTCAGCTCACCACAACCTCCGCCTCCTGGGTTCAAGCAATTCTCCTGCCTCAGCCTCCCGAGTAGCTGGGATTACAGGTATGTGCCACCACGCCCAGCTAATCTTTTGTATTTTTAGTAGAGACAGGGTTTCTCCATTTTGGTCAGGCTGGTCTTGAACTCCCGACCTCAGGTGATCCGCCTGCCTCAGCCTCCCAAAGTGCTGGCATTACAGGCGTGAGCTACTGTGCCCAGCCAGAACGAGTATTTTTAAACATTTAAAACTGGTCACATTGCCTCTTCTGGCAGCAAACCAAAAATCCCCTCTTCCAGCAGATCTCAATCCTCCACGGGAAGAAGTCCAATGTCCTCACGGTCTCCAGCCAGGCCTAGCACGGTGTCAGCCCTGCTGCCTGTTCCCTTTTGCTCGTCCCAGAAAGTGGATGTGGCTGGTGTAGCCTGTGGAACCCAGCCTGCTCCCCTCCACACATCCTGCGGCCTGAAATGCTCCTCCACGAACCCCTCTCTCATCCAACCTACTCCTGCCACCACTGAGCTCCCACAGGGCACACTGAATGCTGGGAAGGCCACTCCCTACCTAGCATGACTGCTGTGTTCACGGATAAGCCGCCAGTAGGAAACCATGACTCTGTGGGTCTGGGGTGGGCCCTAGGATTCTGTTTTTACCCCTCTTCCCAGGTGATTAGGAGCCAGACCTGGATGCCCTAGTTTTGTTCCCTTCACCAAGTACCTTCTCCCCAGAGCTGGTTTTTCTCCTTTGCAAAATAGCTGGCTACAGAGATTCAAGGACAGCATGTTGGTAAACCACCCAGCTGGGCCTCTGGCACACCGCAAGCACCCAATGGCACCTACTGTTACCCTATGTGGGTTATTTCCTCACCCCAGGAGGAGCTGGGAGGTGAAGACCTGCCCAAGGGCATGTGAATGGGGAATGCTGTGCCCAGGGCAGCAAGTGAGGTGACGTCCCACCCCCAGGGTGTGTTGGAGGTAAAATCCCGGGGAGCCACTGAAGGGGGAGGTAAAGTGGGAGGTGAAGGGGCCCACAGGGAGGCTGGAGGGGAGTGGCAAGCCCCGAGTCTGACCTTCAGCGTCAGCAGCAGCTGGACGGCATTGGTGAAGGGCGTGGGAGTGGGCAGGCCCAGGAGGCTGAGGGCTCGGAAGAACAGGAG
The DNA here is from genome assembly GCF_000001405.40 of Homo sapiens. NCBI lineage: Eukaryota > Metazoa > Chordata > Mammalia > Primates > Hominidae > Homo > Homo sapiens. Next base: position 162,208 of record NW_003571060.1, read on the forward strand.
ATAGGAGAAAGTCCAGGCCAGAGCCAGGGCGTGGCAGGAGCTGGGCAAAAGCAGGAGGCGCACTGTGTTGGGCACAGAAGTCTCGGCCTTGGCCACTCACTCCACGAGTCCAGCCACCAATCCTCCCCCAGCTCTCCCCATTCGTTTAGAGACAGAAACACAGAAGGGCAGAGAGGACAGGAGGGTGGATGTAGGGACCGAATGAGTATGATTGAAACAGTGGGAGAAGAGGCTCAGCCACATAGAAACACACACCAACAGAGAATGAGGTTAAGAGAAGCTTCGGGTGAAGACCCTGCAATCCTCCACTTTTTCTTTATTTCCGAGGTCCAGGGCTCAAGAAGAGAGAGGTGGATATGAATGAATATGAACGGTGGCCAGGCCAGCAGACACACTGTCCACCTCTCTCCATGACATGGATGTAGCGGACTGGGACAAACACACAGGGACCAGACGCAGAAGGCAGGGGAGAAAGAAAAGCAGATGAAGGCCGGATGCGGTGGCTCACGCCTGTAATCCCAGCACTTTGGAAGGCTGAGGTGGGCAGATCACAAGGTCAGGAGTTCGAGATCAGCCTGACCAACATGGAGAAACCCCAGCTCTATTAAAAATTCAAGATTAGCCAGGCATGGTGGAGCATGCCTGTAATCCCAGCTACTTGGGAGGCTGAGGCAAGAGAATCGCTTGAACCCGGGAGGTGGAGGTTGCAGTGAGCCAAGATCGTGCCACTGAACTGCAGCCTGGGCAACAGGAGCGAAACTCCATCTCAAAAAGAAAGAAAGAAAGAAAGAAAGAAAGAAAGAAAGAAAGAAAGAAAGAAAGAAAAACAAACAAACAAACATGAAACAGAGAAATGAGCTGATCAACAAGAGACAGCTAGACATGAGGCAGAAGCTGAAAAAGACTCAAAGAGGAAACAGGTTGCTTCCCCCTCTCCCCTCCTCTCCCTCTCCTCCCTCCACCAAATTCTCACCAGGGCTGGGCCTGAATGAGGGCCCAGGTCCCGAGGATGGTGACCAGAGAATGCAAAGTGTGGGGGCCACAGGTGAACAGGGTGAGCCCCAGGCCCACAGCGGCTGCTCCCCATCTCTTCAGCCCAGGACCTGCAGGGGGAAGGGACAGCATAAGCCTGGAACCTTCCAGAGGGTCCCCCCCCTTTATTTTCCACTGGGGAGGGAGCCTGACTCACCGGCTTTCTTAAAGAGGAAGCCGATGGGGATGGAGATAAGAAGAACCACTAGATACGTCCATTCTTCAGGCGACATGGTCTGGGGGAGGGGCAGAGATTCACAGTGAGAACCCAGGAATCCAGGCCCCCTGCCTCCTCCCTCTTCGAGGATCCAGGAACCCAGCCTTCTAGACCCCAGTTTTTGAGGATGATGGAGTATGAGCCTCAGCTCCTCTCCTTTGAGAACCTAGCAACCCAGACTCCAGCCCCTTCCTCCTTGGAGGAGACAGGAATCCACCCCCAGCCCCTCCTTTGAGCGCACAGGCCTCCAGCTCTCCTGTCCTTGGAGAACCCAGGAAAGTGTGGGGATCTCCCAGCACCCAAGCCCCTCCTTTGCGAACGCAGAAATCAAAGCTACTCCCCGCACCCATACTGGGGACCCAGATTTGAAGACGCCCCTCTTTTAAAAACCCAGAAACGGCACCCCTCCCGGACCCTTCCTCTTCGACAGCCCAGGAATCTAGACCTCCGAGCCCCCTCTTCCAGCGAGGATCCAGGAACCCAGACCCCCTCTTTGGATCCCCCATCCCCCGGCCCTTGTGAAACCAGATATCCGGACCCCCCAGCCCTTCTCCTTCGAGACCACCCAGAGGAGCCCGGGTCTCCAACCTGCACCTCCTTCGGAGCTCCACACCCCTCTCCTACTGAGAACCCGGGGATCGAACACCCTCCCCTCCCCAGGCCCAGGCCCAGGCCCAGCCCCAACCCGTCCCGCGCACCCCAGCGCATCCCCGGCAGAGCCACAGGCGGTTGCGCCAGCCCCGAGTTCCAACGCGCCTCCGGGGCCGCCCCGCACCCGCCAGCCCGCAGAGACCCTGCCGCCGTGTAACCTCGCCTCGCCACTGGGCGCCGCCACCCTGGCCCACCTGAGCTGCTCGCCGGGCAGGAGGCGGCCGAGCAGTCCCAGCCCGCTTGCCGCCGCAGCTCCGGCCACGCCTCCCCCGCCCAGCGCGCCCCCGCGCCGCCTGCTCCTTCTGGGCGCCCGCCGGGCTGCGCAGATCAGGCCGGGGAAGAAGCCACGGTCAGGGCCCCGGGCGGGCAGGGAAGAAGCCCCGGAGCAGAAGCCGAGAGCGCGAGTCGGCAACGGGATTCGAGTCCAGGTCCACACTGGGATCCGAGCTCCGAGTACGTGAAGGGGCGGGCCTTCGGGCTCGGAACAAGGAGGAGCCAAAAGCTTTGGACCCGAAGGGGAACAGACGGGCTCTGGAAAGGAGGCGGGGTCTGGAGCTCGGCGTGAGGAATGAGGCGGGGTCTCCCTTCGGGTTCCTTCGGGCACAATCGGGAGCTTGAGTTCTCCGGAAGCGGGGCCACAAACTTCGGCTCACTTCGGCAATAGTCGAGAACGGAGAGCTGAGGCCACTGTGGGCGGAGCCACATGTTTCGGCTTTCTTCGGAGGTAGTCGAGTCCTTAGGGTCACTGTTCCGATGTGGGCGGGGCCACAGACTCGGCCGGATGTGGGTGGGGCCACAAGCTTCGGTTTACTTCGTAGATAGTTGGGTACAAGTGACGCTAGGATGATAGGCGGAGTCAACAGGTTCGCCAGACACCCATGAGTATTTACAAGGGGGCGGGGCGAAAGCGACTTGCCCTCAAAGGGGCGGAACCCCGAGGGCCGGCGTGCGCCTACGGGACCGGGCCAGGGTGACGATCCTCAAGTTCCCAAGTAGAGGAGAGGAAGCGGCAGAGGGAGGTGCGCTCAGTGGGGCGGAGCCAAGGTGGCCCCCGCGGGAGGAGGGCGGGGCTTCGGTCCTGCGAGGGGCGGGACCTGACTTCCCGCGGCGCTGATGGGGCGGGATGACGAAGTTGACGAGGGTGTCGGCATGAGGGGGTGGAGCAAGGAGCGCGTGGCGCGGTGCGCAGTGGGTGGCTCCACCTCGACTGCGAATTACTGTTTATGAGGTGACTCGCTGGTTCTATCGGTGGACAGTGGGACATTCTGAAGGGAGGCAAGGAGGCGGACTGAGCGCTCCCAATTGGGGTGAGCCCGCCCGAGCGGAGAGTGGACGGCGGGTGTCCAGGGGGCGGGGCTTTCGGCTGTGGGGTTCGGTCGTAGGGCGGGAACTCCCCAACTGGGGTGCGCTGGCGCTCGGAGGGGGCGGGGCCACAGGCCGCGAGGCTGCCGGGAGCCGATGACGCCCGAACGCCGAACCTATTGCGTCCGGGAGGAGGCGGGGCTACGGATTCGGCCGAGCCGAGAACACCCGAACGTCAAATTGCTGGCGTTCGAGAAGGGGGCGGGGCTGCGGATTCGGTGGAGCCGAGGACGCCCGAACGCCGAACTTCCTGTGCTCGGGAGGGGGCAGGGTTTTGTACTGTGGGAGTCTGAGAGCGAGGAGGTCCGAAAGCCGAATCACAGTCGTTCGGAAAGAGGAGGAGCGAAGGCTCGAGCGTCCGGAAGAGGGTGTGGCCTCGGCGGTGCCTTAGCCTCCAGAGCTTCTGACCGCTGACGGGAACACCCGAAGGGGGACGCCCACTTTGCAAGAGGGTGGTGCCAAAATGGACCTTTGTAAGGGGGCGTGTCGCCGCGCTTGCGGAGGTTTGTTTTTCACGCTCCAAGGCGCAATGGTAGGTACGGCAGTGCGGGCACAGAGCGGGTGCCGACCGCAGGGTCACAAGGGTAGAGCGGGACCCTGGGGGCTTGGCGAGGGGAGAGGGTCGGGGGCTTGTCTCCGGCGTCTCGTCTCCGGCGGCCGCGAGGCCTGGTGGGATCGCCCGGGGGCGGGGCCTGGCGCTCGGGCCCAGCAGGTGGTGAACGGCGGCTGAGCGAGGCCCCGCCCCCTGAGGCCTAGGGGCGGGGCTTCGCCGAGACCCCGGAGGCTTTGGGTGCGCTGCAGCGGTCCGCGGCGCGCAGCTGTTTCGGTAACTGCTTTGCCTCCCGGCTCCCGCAGGAGGATGCTGGTGGTGGAGGTGGCGAACGGCCGCTCCCTGGTGTGGGGAGCCGAGGCGGTGCAGGCCCTCCGGGAGCGCCTGGGTGTGGGGGGCCGCACGGTAGGCGCCCTGCCCCGCGGGCCCCGCCAGAACTCGCGCCTGGGCCTCCCGCTGCTGCTGATGCCCGAAGAGGCGCGGCTCTTGGCCGAGATCGGCGCCGTGACTCTGGTCAGCGCCCCGCGTCCAGACTCTCGGCACCACAGCCTGGTAAGGGGGCGGGGCTCGAACTCGGGTTCGGTGGGAGCGGGACCTGGGAGTCAAGTTTCCTGGCTTCTGAAGGGACCATAAGCTTGGAGGTTCCAGCGAAGTGTGCTTCTCAGGCCCTGACATCCTTCAAGCGCCAGCAAGAGGAGAGCTTCCAGGAGCAGAGCGCCTTGGCAGCTGAGGCCCGGGAGACCCGTCGTCAGGAGCTCCTGGAGAAGATTACGGAGGGCCAGGCTGCTAAGAAGCAGAAACTAGAACAGGCTTCAGGGGCCAGCTCAAGCCAGGAGGCCGGCTCGAGCCAGGCTGCCAAAGAGGATGAGACCAGTGATGGCCAGGCTTCGGGAGAGCAGGAGGAAGCTGGTGAGCATGGGAGGTGGAGTCCAGGGACCACGGGAAGGAGAGGAGAGATCTTTTAGGAATTTTAGCTGGGAATCCAGTGCCTGGGTCTCCCTGAGGGTGAGAAGACTTTACCCCTTGAATTTACCAAACTCTTCTCTGTACTCCCCACCAGGCCCCTCGTCTTCCCAAGCAGGACCCTCAAATGGGGTAGCCCCCTTGCCCAGATCTGCTCTCCTTGTCCAGCTGGCCACTGCCAGGCCTCGACCGGTCAAGGCCAGGCCCCTGGACTGGCGTGTCCAGTCTAAAGACTGGCCCCACGCCGGCCGCCCTGCCCACGAGCTGCGCTACAGTATCTACAGAGACCTGTGGGAGCGAGGCTTCTTCCTCAGTGCGGCTGGCAAGTTCGGAGGTGACTTCCTGGTCTATCCTGGTGAGTATGGGTTGGGGCCTCTGGTTGCTGTGCCTTTCCATACGATCCCAATGTATTCTGCGTTTTTCTTTTTTTTTTTTTTGTCTTAATAGAGGTGGGGTCTCTTGTTGCTTAGGCTGGTCCCTATTCCTGGGCTCAAGCAATCCTTCCACCTCGGCCCCCCAAAGTGCTGGAATTATAGGCCCAGCTGCATTTTTCTTTTTTGTCTCACTTTCTCTTAGCCTCTGAAATTCATAGACAGACAGGAAACATTTGGGAGCTCCCGAACTCATTGGGCAAGCAGTTTAACGACTTTTATTAAATGATTACTGTGATCCAGAAGATTCACTTAGAAGTAGTTAGACATCAGGCTGGGCGCAATGGCTCACGCCTGTAATCCCAACACTTTGGGAGGCCAAGACAGGTGGATCACCTGAGGTCAGGAGTTTGATACCAGTCTGGCCAACATGGTGAAACCCCATCTCTACTAAAAATACTAAAACTAACTGGGCGTGGTGGTGGGTGCCTGTATTTCCAGCTACTCGGGAGGCTGAAGCAGGAGAATCATGTGAACCCAGGGGGCAGAGGTTGTAGTGAGCCAAGATCGTGCCATTGCACTCCAGCCTGGGGGACAAGAGCGAGACTTTGTCTCAAAAAAAAAAAAAAAGCCTAGAAGTGGAATAGTTGTGTCCAAGAGCATCTGTTTTAGAGTATCTATAGTGATGGCTGAAATGATCTCAGATCTCCTCCCAGTGGTCGTTCCCGTGGCGTCCAGCCGTCTGCCATTGGTCACTGCTTCAGTGCCTCTCTCCTTCCCCCAGGTGACCCCCTCCGCTTCCACGCCCATTATATCGCTCAGTGCTGGGCCCCTGAGGACACCATCCCACTCCAAGACCTGGTTGCTGCTGGGCGCCTTGGAACCAGCGTCAGAAAGACCCTGCTCCTCTGTTCTCCGCAGCCTGATGGTAAGGTGGTCTACACCTCCCTGCAATGGGCCAGCCTGCAGTGAACTCCAGAGACCTAGGGGATGTGGCTGTGTCGGCAGCAAGAGCCTTTCTGGATGTTCCCCAGCTCTTCTCTGGGAGTCTAGAACATCCTCCTACCTTTCTCCGCGGTTAGTTTTTGATTCCAGGTTTTCGAACACTACATCTTTTTTATGTTCTTCCTTGTTTCAAAGCACTTATTGGCTGTGTTTTTGTAGTTACCTATTTTCACACTGTGAGCTTCCCGAGAATGGGGCCTGGGTTTGATTCATCTGTTTTCTACAGGGTTTAAGTCTCAGGAGGTCTCAATAAACTTGGTATATAAATGTTCATGATTTGAATGTTTGCGACAGTCCTGGAACCCGTGGATGGTCTCATCTGCATGTACAGGTGAGAAAAAGGCCTGGAGGAGGGGGACTGACTTGCCCAAAGTCACACACTTAGTAAATAGCAGGCCTGGCCTTTCAAAATTGGTTTTTCTGACTCCTAAATCTGCACTCTTTCTACCTCACTAAACTTCCTTTTGAAAAGATTTCTATGAAATTTCCCAGATGCATACAAACGTTATAAATAAAAATATAGGCTGGGCACGATGACCCACACCTGTAATCCCACAGAACTTTTGGAGGCCAAGGCAGGGGGATCGCTTGAGCCCAGGAGTTTGAGACCAGCTCTGGCAACATTGTAATACCCAGTCTCTACAAAAAATAATTTAAAAAAAAATTAGCCAGGGATCCCTTGAGCCTGGGAAGTTGAGGCTGCTGTGAGCTGTGATTGCACCACTGCCCTCCAGCCTGGGAGACAGAGCAAGAACCTGTCTCAAAAAATATATATATGTGTGTGTGTATATATGTAAATATACACACATGTATGTATATATATGTGTGTGTATATATATATATATTATGAAAGGAAATGAGTATTGTAATTTTAGGAGTTCAGAGCCTGGGGAGAAAGGAAGGACTCTGGAAGGCGTTCTGCTTTTTCATGGCCTGGGTAGTGGTGAATTTTTTTGATACTGTATATTTATATTTTAGACTCTTTTTTGGATGTGTTATATTCTGCAATTTTTATAAAAGCTAAAACACATGTATTTGTAAAAAATTTGCACTTATGAAATCATTTACCCATGTTTTTGCTTAAGAAAGTACTAGAACACTACCACTATTCCAATAATTACACCTTTATCTTATCAATGTGCAGTTTTATTTTGTCACGTTTATTTTGTCAGTGTAATACATTCACATGGTGAGTCTGGGCGTGGTGGCTTATGCTTGTAATCCCAGCACTTTGGGAGACCAAGGCGGGCGGATCATGAGGTCAGGAGTTCCAGAGCATCCTGGCCAACATGGCCCGCCTCTATGAAAAATACAAAAATTAGCCGGGCGTGGTGGCGGGCGCCTGTAATCCTAGCTACTCCGGAGGCTGAGGCAGGAGAATCACTTGAATCTGGGAGGTGGAGGTTGCAGTGAGCCAAGGTCACGCCACTGCACTCCAGTCTGGGCGACAGAGCTAGACACTGTCTCAAAAAAACAAAAACAAACAAAAACTTCCACATGGTAAAATTCTGGGGCTGAAAGTCTCCACCTCTAGTTCTTCCATTTCTTCCCCCCATGTTTCATTCTTTCTCTTTTTTGTGTGAATTGAGCAGCCTCTGGAACCAGAATAGGTTTAGAGAGACTCCCATCTCCCCTCTTTCTTGCCATTCCCAGTAAACAGACTTCATAGAATCTCAATTTCCTGTAAGTTTAGATTAATTTAAAATATGACACTGGGCCAGGTGTGGTGGCTCACACCTGTAATCCCAGCACTTTGGGAGGCTGAGGTGGGCAGATGAGTTTGAGATCAGCCTGGCCAATATGGTGAAACCCCATCTCTACTAAAAATACAAAAAAAAAAAATTAGCCGGGCGTGGTGGCATGCGCCTGTACTCCTAGCTACTCAGGAGCCTAAGGCAGGAGAATCACTTGAATCCGGGAGGCAGAGGTTGCAGTGAGCCAAGATCGCACTACTACACTCCAGCCTGGGCAACAAGAGCTAAACTCCATCTCAAAAAAATGAAAAGAAAAAAAATGACGCTAACCCCTGTCTGGCCAATACTCTCTTTGTGCCTGCTTCATAATTGGCTTTGTAAGTCTATTCTCCACCCTTTCTCCTCTCTACAACAAAGTACTTAGAAGTCTCATTCCCTCTGTCATGAGTCTCTCCTCTGAAAAGTTCCTCATTTAAAACTCCTGTGGCCAGATGTGGTGGCTCAGACCTGTAATCCTAGCACTTTGGGAGGCCAAGGTGGGAAGATCAGTTGAGCCGCTGAGCTCAGGAGTTTGAGACCAGCCTTGGCTGAACATAGTGAGACCTCATCTCATCTCTATTTAAAACAAACAAACAAAAAAAAACTTTTGTGACTGGTGTCCCCCCATGTTGTCAGTCAACAAATTCTATAGGTGCCATGTTCAAAGCACTGTGGATCCACAGTTAGGCCCCACCCTCCACCTTCACTGCCAGTATCTTAGAAAAACCAAACCATGGCTCATTTGATATTGATAGCTTCCTAACTCATCCCCTGCCTTCCATTCTTGCCCCTCTGTTGTCTGTTTTCAACAGAGCAGCCAGAATCATCGTTTTTTTTTTTGTTTTTTTGTTTTTTTTTTTTTTTGAGGCGGAGTCTCGCTGTCGCCCAGGCTGGAGTGCAGTGGCGCGATCTCTGCTCACTGCAAGCTCCGCCTCCCAGGTTCACGCCATTCTCCTGCCTCAGCCTCCCTAGTAGCCGGGACTACAGGCGCCCGCCACCTCACCTGGCTAATTTTTTGTATTTTTAGTAGAGACGGGGTTTCACCATGTTAGCCAGGATGGTCTCGATCTCCTGACCTTGTGATCCACCCGCCTCGGCCTCCCAAAGTGCTGGGGTTACAGGCGTGAGCCACCGCGCCCGGCCAGAATCATCATATTAAAAGATAAGTCAGACCATGTCACAGCTCTGTCTAAAACTTTCCTGGAGTTTTCCATCTCAGAGTAAAACTCAAAGGTCCTACTTTGCAGCTTCCTCATGAACTGGCCATGTGCATTCTCTTCCTTGCTTATTATTATTATTATTATTTATTTTTTTTATTTTTGAGACAGAGTCTTGCTCTGTTGCCCAGGCTGGAGTGCAGTGGCACAATCTCGGCCCACTGCAGCCTCTGCCTCCTGGGTTCAAGTGGGTTCAAGCGATTCTCCCACCTCAGCCTCCCAAGTACCTGGGATTACAGGCGCCTGCCACCACGTCAGGCTAATTTTTTGTATTTTAGTAGAGACAGGGTTTCACCATAATTGCCCAGGCTCGAACTCCTGAGCTCAGGCAATCCGCCCACCTCAGCCTCCCAAAGTGCTAGGATTATAGACATGAGCCACCGTGCCCGGCCAGCTTTGTTCCTCTTTACTGCTGGATATTCCATTGTATGGACATAACCCCATTTTATTTATCCATTCACCAGGTGATTGGCATTTGTTTCTAGTTAAGGACAAGGTTTTGGTTTTGGTTTTTGTTTTATTTACCCTTGTTCATGCAGTATCCCCAGGTCCAAGAACAGTTCCTGGCACACAGTAAGCAGTCAATACATTGTTGCTAAATAAATGAGTGGCTTAAACTATAATTTTTAAATCAGGGCTGAGACAATTTGGAAATTATAATTTCTCCTACATGACTTTCTAAGCATATTTTAAATAAATATACATACGTTAAGGTCATTTTTATTAATGAAAATTGTAGCATACTATGCACACTTCTGCATCTTGCTTATTGGATATGCCCAGGCTTGTCTCATTTTTGCCAACAGCTACATGGTTTTGCGTCCTATGGATGGGGCATAATTAGATTTTATTACACTTGTACAAAAGGAAAGGAATTCAGCTCCCCAAGCATGCCCAGCTGGTCCTTGGCAACCCATGATGGAAACCAAGGGTTCCTCTTATATTACCCGTGCTCCTTTCAGAGAGGAAGGGCTAGAGGGCTCCAGCCTGAGTGAGAGAGAGAGAGGAGGAAGCATGAGGGGTTTGTGGAAGAGGGCCTGGTGCCATATGACTGGACCATGCTTCTGAAGAGGATCAGGGTGAGGCCAGATCTCATCAGTTGACCCTTGAGCAACATGGGTCTGAACTGCTCGGGTCCACTTTTATGCAGATTGAAAAAAGTAAAGGTTACACAGAGCATGCCTGCCTCTCCTGCTTTGCCTTTTACCTCCTCCACCTCTGGCACCCTGAGACAGCAAGACCAAACCCTCCTCTTCTTTCTGCACCTCTGCCTACTCAGAATGAAGACAAGGATGAAGACCTTTATGATGATCCACTTCCACTTAATGAATAGTAAATATATTTTCTCTTTTTTAGAATTTTCTTAATATTTTCTTTTTTTTTTTTTTTTTGAGACGAAGTCTCGCTCTGTCACCCAAGCTGGAGTGCAGTGGCGCGATCTTAGCTCACTGCAAGCTCCGCCTCCCGGGTTCACGCCATTCTCCTGCCTCAGCCTCCCCGGTAGCTGGGACTACAGGCGCCTGCCACCACGCCCGGCTAATTTTTTGTATTTTTAGTAGAGATGGGGTTTCACCGTGTTAGCCAGGATGGTCTCGATCTCCTGACCTGGTGATCCGCCCGCCTTAGCCTCCCAAAGTGCTGGGATTACAGGCATGAGCCATCACGCCCGGCCAATATTTTCTTTTCTCTAGCTTAATTCATCATAGGAATACAGAATATAATACATATAGCGTATAAAATATGTGTTAATTGACTATGTTATTGGTAAGGCTTCCAGTCAACTACGAGTAATGTTTTTTTTAAATCCTGAGACAGTGTCTTGCTCTGCCAGCTGGGCTGGGGTGCAGGGGCATGATCTTAGTTCGCTGCTGCCTCAACCTCCTTGACTCAAGCAGTCCTCCCACCACAGCCTCCCAAGTAGCTGGAACTACGGGCACACACCACCACACCCAGTTAATTTTTCTGTTTTCTGTAGAGTCTGGGTTTTGCCGTGTTGCCCAGGCTGGTCTTGAACTCCTGGGCTCAAGTGCTCTGCCCACCTCAGCTTCCCAAATCCCACCTGGGGTTACAGGTGTGAGCCACGGTGCCTGGCCTAGTAGTTAAGTTTTGGGGAAGTCAAAAGTTATATGCAGATTTTCTTTCTTTTTTTTTTTTTTTTTTTTGAGGCAGTCTTGCTCTGTCGCCCAGGATGGAGTGCAGTGGTGCGATCTCGGCTCACTGCAATCTCCACGTCCTGGGTTCAAGCGATGCTCTTGCCTCAACCTCCTAAGTAGCTGGGATTACAGGCACCTGCCACCACGCCTGCCTAATTTTTGTATTTTTAGTAGAGACCAGGTTTTGTCATGTTGGCCAGGCTGGTCTCGAACTCCTGACCTCAGTTGATCCGCCGGCCTTGGCCTTCCACATAGTGCTGGGATTACAGGCGTGAGGCACCGCGCCCAGCCTATATGGAGGTTTTCGGCTGAGCTGGGGGTCAGTGCCCCTCGCCCCCAGACTGTACAGAGTCAGCTGTGTTAAGATATTAAGCACCTTCAGTACACAAGACTCTGTGCTGGTTTTCTTTTCTTTTTTTTTTTTTTTTTACTCTAAATCATCAAACCCTATGAGGAAAGTCCTGTTACTTTCTCCCATTTAGCACTCTTGAAGAGGCTAATTTGCCTAAGATCAAGAGCTCGTCAGTGACTGCTGAGGTTCAAACGCAGATCTTTTTTAAGACTTGAGAACCTACAGGTTCAACCACCATTATAAAACCATCTCTGTAATCACGAGGCACCCGGAATTTGTGGAGCTTGGACTTCATCCTGAAGGGAGTGAAAACTTATGGAAGTTTTTTCCTTCCACGTTTCCCCCTTCCAGATGAATAATATACGCGTGTTCAAGATACAAAAATGCATAAAATTTGGCCAGGCATGGTGGCTTACACCTGTAATCCCAGCACTTGGGGAGGCTGAGGCGAGTGGATCACTTGAGCCCAGGAGTTCAAGACCAGCCTGGGCAATATGGCAAAACCCCGTCTCAAAACAACAAAACAAACAAACAAAAAACCCATAAAACTGAACAAGGTAGTTTGTAAGATATGGAAGTACAATGCAGATGACAATAATGACGATGGTAGCTACCACTAGGCGCTTTATTTATGCCACTCTCCTCAACACTGGATAGACTCTCACTTAATCCTCACAAGCTTATGAGGTAGGCGCTACCATCATTCGCCGTTTTACAGAGGAGGACGCTGAGGCACAGAGTGATTGAGAAACTTGTCGAAGGCACTGCAGCTGGCAAGTGGTGACGTGGCATTTGAATCCAGGCATCCGGATGGTGTGGATGCCGTGGAAGAGAAAGGGGCGGGTGGGACTGCTTCCTGAGGAGATAGTGACTGCCGAGGCAGCAGCGTAGGGAAGACAACTGAAGAACACGAGCTGTGGAGACAGACCATCGCATTCGGAGTGGAGAGATGGGTGTACAGACAGACAATAACCAGACTATATATAAAAAGAGAACTCTAGGTCAGGCGCGGTGGCTCACACCTGTAATCTTAGCACTTTGGGAGGCTGAGGCGGGTGGATCACTTGAGGTCAGGCGTTGGAGACCAGGAGTTCAAAACCCCGTCTCTACTAAAAATTTAAAAATTAGCCGGGCATGGTGGTGGGCGCCTGTAGTCCCAGCTTCTCGGGAGGCTGAGGCACGAGAATCGATTGAACCCGGGAAGCGGAGGTTGCAGTGAGCCGAGATCGCACCACTGCACTCCAGCCTGGGTGACGAGAGCGAAAAACTCCGTCTCAAAAATAAAATAAATTACTGATAATAGTACTAATACCCCTTAAGTGGCTATTGATAATAATAGTACCATGGGTGGGGGGGCAACTTCTCTGAGAGTGCTCTGTAAGTATGTATTGAAGATTGAGTAAATACATTTAAAATTCTTAGAACAGTATGTGGCACATAGCGTTCCAGAATGCCACATTATTGTTAGTGACAGAAATAATCTCGGCTGGGCGCGGTGGCTCACGCCTGTAATCCCAGCACTTTAGGGGGGGCCACGGCGGGAGGCTCTCTCGAGGCCGGGAGTTCAAGACCAGCCTGGGCAACATGGCAAGACGCCGACTGTTAAAAAAAAAAAATGCTACCCGGGCGTCGTGGCGTGTGCCTGTAATCCCAGCTACTGGGGAGGAGGTGGGAGGATCGCTCGAGCCCGAGAGGTTGGTCGGGGCCTCAGTGAGCCGAAATCACGCCACTGCACTCCAGCCTGGGCGACGGAGCGAGACCCTGTCTCAGAAAGAAAAAGAAAAACCACCGTCCAGGGGCGGAGAAGGAAGGTTCTCCCTACTTCTCAGGTTTCCACTCCCTGGCCGGAAAAAACCTAGTCCTCCCAGGTTAGCACGCCGCTCTAGCCCAGCCTCACGTCTCCACTGCTTCTCAGCCAGCCAACGCCTCTTCTGATTGGCTCTGACGTGCGTGGTGCGTGAAAACGTCACGAGACGCCGGCGTTACTATAAGAGCGCAGCCGTGGCGCTTGCGCGCCTCTTTCTCAGTGACCGGGTGGTTTGCTTAGGTGCGGTGCGGTGGTGTGCTTTTTCTCTAGGGTTTGGGTTGGATGGTGGCCCGGGCCTTCCGAGTTTCCATGAGTAAGCTAAAGACGTTAGGAAACAGAGCAGGGTGGTTGAACGGGAGTGCAGCACGGTTGTGGGGGCAGATACTGACTATGAGAGCGTTGGAGGTTATTCTCGCGAGATCGGATCTGGGCTCCGCGAGGTTTTGGCGTAGTTGTGGGACTGCGCAGGCGCCGTTTGGAGCCCTTACGCTCACACTTCTCTCCCGCGCAGGCGCAGACGGGGAAGCGGAGCCAACATGCCAGTGGCCCGGAGCTGGGTTTGTCGCAAAACTTATGTGACCCCGCGGAGACCCTTCGAGAAATCTCGTCTCGACCAAGAGCTGAAGCTGATCGGTGAGTGGCCAAGGCTTCCGGGAAGTGGTTCGGCTTCCGGGAGGCGGTTAGCACGTGGATGAAGGTGCCCATGTACTCTATCTAGTCCGTCCCCTAAATTTGGTACTATTCGTGGTTTAGGAAGGTTTTGTGATTCCAAAGCTGCCAGTCTAGTTGTTGTGCCAGTAGGTGGGACTACACTTGTCCACCCGCTTCTCCCCACCAGGCGAGTATGGGCTCCGGAACAAACGTGAGGTCTGGAGGGTCAAATTTACCCTGGCCAAGATCCGCAAGGCCGCCCGGGAACTGCTGACGCTTGATGAGAAGGACCCACGGCGTCTGTTCGAAGGTGCGTATGGGAGTCCACAGCAGAGGGATGGGGTGCAGGGCTTGTGAGGTTCATTCTCCCTTCTGTTGCCTCTGTTCCAGTGATGAGAGTTGTGTCATTGGATAAATGGAGCCAGCCTTCTAACTTTTAGTGGCACTTGTGGAGTAGGAAAAGTGTATCTGGACCAGTCTTTGCCCTGTTTCTTAGGTGTGTGGCTTTTTTGCCCAGTTATTGGACCTTCAGTTTAGTAATGACCAGAGCTAAAGATAGGCCTGGCACACCTGGGCACCCGTCTATATCTTTATATTCTGTTTATGTGGCCTGTTTGCTAGTGGATGAGAGTAGACTATGAAGTGGAATTTCTGGGCTAAGTGATGGTGATAACAGGGTTTGCACATTTGCTTGGTTTATTGTTTTTTTAATTAAGTTTTCTCGTTTTATTTAGTCTTTTGAGAGGGAGTCTTGCTCTGTCGCCCAGGCTGGAGTGCCGTGGCGCCATTTCGGCTTACTGCAACCCCCGCCTCCTGGGTTCAAACAATTCTCCTATCTTAGCCTCCCAAGTAGCTGGGACTACAGACAGGCGCATGCCACCACACCTGGCTAATTTTACTTTTGAGACGGAGTCTCGCTCTATTGCCCATGCTGGAATGTAGTTGTCGCAATCTTGGCTAACTGCAAACTCCGCCTCCAGAGTTCAAGCAATTCTCCTGTCTTAGCCTCCTAAGTAGCTGGAATCACAGGCATGGGCCACCAAGCCTGGCTAATTTTCTATTATTAGTGGAGATGGGTTTTCACCATGTTGTCCAGGCTGGTGCTTGTTTTATTAAGCTGGTCAAGGACATTTAGGTGGTATTTAGCAAAGGCCTGAACAGGAGAGAACCTGTAAAATGTCTCAGGGAACAGCATTTCAGGTGATGACTTTAGGAGGGCATGCAGATCACATAGACTTAGGCTTACTTTACTAACTGTGGTGAAATACACATTAACTTGAAAATGTACCATCTTAACCATCTTGTTTTAAAATCTACTCTGAGATGCGGTGTTATTGGAGTGCTTTCTACAGCAGATTGGCATGACCAAGATTGGCATTTGTATATCCTGAGACGCTGCTTTTGCCTGAGTTTGGGTAGTCATGATTTATGGTGAAAAGCAGTCTCTACACCTGAGCCCTGACTGTTAGGCATGAGAGTGGTCATCCATGTTAGGCGTTGAGAAAGTCCTGGAGCATGTTTAGCTACAGATTATCACAGTTTGTCCCAGGCTTGCAGATGTTAGAAGCTTTTTCTTTAAATAGGCACAGGATCTTGCAGTGTTGCCCAGGATGGTTTCCAACTCCTAACCTCAAGTGATCCATCCACCTCAGCTTTCCATAGTGCTGGGGTTACAGGTGTAAGCCACCGCACCTGACCCTTTCATTCTTTTCGTCAATTTGTAGACCCCGTTGATAATCTCATGAAAGTGCTGGAGATCCCTCCCCCATAGATACTGATGCTGGGTGGGAATTCATCCCAGGGTTCTGTGGGGAGTGGGCTACAGCTGGTTCTGGTTTTAGGGAGGACTTTCTGGACATAGATCCTAATTGCAATGAAACTTACAGTCATGTGAGAAAGCGGTGCAGGTGTCTGAGGGTTATTTGTGGTTTTCCAAGGCAGAAGTGAAAATTCCCAAGGGGTACACAGTTGTTCAGGTGAGTACACTTTCTAGTAAATGAAGCCATCTAGCCTAGTCAGGGACAGGAAGGAGGAGCTTGGATGTTTGCTCTTTGGTGTAATCCTGCCTTGATTCAGATCCAGCCTTTCCCACTAAGATGTGTGACTAGCGAGATTCTGAGTCTCGTCTGTTAAGACTGAACAGCCGCCAACATTTGGCTGGCAGTTAATAATCAACAGATAGAGGCCAGGCATGGTGGCTCATGCCTGTAATCCCAGCACTTTGGGAGACCGAGGTGGTCGGATCACTTGAGGTCAGGAGACCTCAAGTCAGAGACCAGCCTGGCCAACGTGGTGAAATTCCATCTCTACGAAAAATACAAAAATTAGCCGAGCATGGTGGTGTGCCTATAATCCCAGCTACTCGGGAGGCTGAGGCAGGAGAATTGATTGAACTTGGGAGACAGAGATTGCAGTGAGCCAAGATCCGCGGCACTGCACTGGGTGACAGCGAGACACAAAACAACACGAACTCCCCCCCCCCACCCCCAGCACAACTGTGAAGAAATGTAGGAGTCATGTCCATTTTTCAGATCAGAAATGAAGGCATTGTAATACCTAACTGCCTTGTATGATGACAAGGACCTGTTTCCCACTGAGGTCCTCCCTGGTTTGCATTTTTAAAGCATTTTAAATTCTCTTGGTGCATTGGCCCAGCGGAGCCTCAGCAGTAGGACATGCTTTTGTTGAAGGTGTAAGGTTTATTGTGCTGTTGAAAACTATTGTCTTCATACTTAAAGGTTTTGCCTGTGGCTGACTCTCCTGTTCTTTTTCAGGAGATAGATGGTTTAATAAATGTGGGCCTGAGTGCAGTGGCTCATGCCTGTAATCCCAGCACTTTGGGAGGCAGAGGCAGGCGGATCACCCGAGGTCGGGAGTTTGAGACTAGCCTGACCAAAGTGGAGAAACCCCCTAGTCTCTACTGAAAAAATACAAAATTAGCGGGGCGTGGTGGCGCATGCCTGTAATCCCAGGCTGAGGCAGGAGAATCTCGGGAGGCGGAGTTTGCAGTGAGCCGAGATCACGCCATTGCACTCCAGCCTGGGCAACGAGAGCGAAACTCTGTCTCAAAAATGATAATAAATATGAAACATTTTTTTAAAATCATGCCTTTGTTTTGCCTAATGGTGACGATCTCACTTTGTCTCCCGGGCTGGAGCACAGTGGCATGGTCGTGGCTCACTGCAGCCTGGACCTCCTGTGCTTAAGTGATCCTCCTCAGCTCTAGTAGCTGAGACCACAATCCACCATGTACCACCATGCCCGGCTAATTTAGTTTTACTTTTTTGTTTGTTTTGGTACAAATGCGGTCTCACTGTGTTGCCGAGGCTAGTTTCAAACTTCTGGACTCAACTGATCCTCCTGCCTCAGCCTCCCAAAATATTGGGTTTATAGGCCAGGCATAAGGGACTGTGCGTGGCTTAAGTTTCCATTTTCTAATGTAAAGACAAAAAGGCGTGAAGTGTCCAAAGAGGTAAATGATCCCAAACTCATTTTCATCGCCTTTTGGACATGTTTTTGTATTTTGATATTCAGGTGTTTATCCTCTGATGTTGAGTTAAAAAAGAACAAAAATTGAAGCCATAGTATGACATAGGATGCTGGAAATGCACACAGCTGGTGTTTCCATTTTGATTCTCCCTACCTGTAACTGCTCCCTACTGGGAAAACTTTGGGTCCTCACAAAGTGAGCTAGCTTTCTTTCAAACTTTGCTTGGAGGGTAACAGTGCCAGGAATATCAGAAGTGCCTGATGCATGTAGATCTATTTATGAAAGCTTGCTTGAATGGTTTGCTGTAACTAGTAAGAGCCACTTTTTATAAAAGTGCACATAAGGAAAAAAGGTTGAGGTGTTTACCCCAGTCAAGGGGCAGTTGATTTGCTGAAGGCGTGTGGGATTATAGCAGTGAGCGGGAGCCTAGGGGATGGCGTTTGCCCCCAGGGCCCTGGGGCTGTGGGCAAGGGCAGTCCAGAGTATTAGCTAGAAGCCATGGCTTTGGACAGGGTAAGGAGCAAGCCGTCCTGAGCCTGGGGTTGGAAGAAAGGTGTAGTAGCTGGCATCTGTTGGATATTTTACGCAGTGCATTGTTAGGTTATATACATACTAGATATATTTTTGGTGGAAAATTTTCTACAGAATAGTAAAATGAATGACATGTACTTAGCTGGAAAAATTCTAGTGTTAGAAATTACTTTTCTCTCCTTAAAAGGTATAGATACTGCTATTTATGGCACGGAATGTGATTCAATCTCACATCTGCTTAATCAGAAGAGCTTTCTGGGCTGAGGATATGAACTCTTCAGCACTGTGCTTTGTTACGGTGGTAGTAGCTTAATAGCAGCTGCATTTGGTCTTTTGCAGACTGAGTCCTTGTAAGGAGGTGATTTCCTTTACTCTTGCTAAGAATGTGGAGCGAGGGATGTATGCTCTCAGATGAGGAGGCAGGTGTATTTTGCCCTCCTGTCATCTGCAGTTTACTATGAATGATGACCTGACAACCATAGGGTAGTTTGGTTTTTTGTATTGTTTTGTTTTGTGACAGGGCCTCACTCTGTCGCCCAGGCTGGAGTGCAGTGGCCCCATCTCAGGTCACTGCAACCTCCGCCTCCTGGGTTCAAGCAGTTTTCCTTCCTCAGCCTCCTGAATAGCTGGGATTACAGGCAGTGCGCCAACGGCCTGGCTAATTTTTCGTAATCTTAGTGGAGACGGGCTTTTGCCATGTTGGCCGGGCTGGTCTCTCAAACTCCTGACCTCAAGTGATCAGTCTCGGACTCCCAAAGTGCTGGGATTACAGGTGTGAGCCACCACTCCCAGCCCGTAGGGTGGTTTTGACAGTGACATGGGTCACGGTGATGGCGCTGTACTACTTGTGCCTCACCGCCGCGGCATGGAGCTACCAAGAGGCGGAGCCAGGATTTGAACCCAAGAAGCCTGAGGTCAGAAGGCGGAATCAGTGTTTCCTCCCACTCTTCCCAGGCAACGCCCTGCTGCGGCGGCTGGTCCGCATTGGGGTGCTGGATGAGGGCAAGATGAAGCTGGATTACATCCTGGGCCTGAAGATAGAGGATTTCTTAGAGAGACGCCTG
This sequence comes from Homo sapiens, assembly GCF_000001405.40. NCBI lineage: Eukaryota > Metazoa > Chordata > Mammalia > Primates > Hominidae > Homo > Homo sapiens. The sequence goes on from NW_003571060.1 coordinate 181,357, forward strand.
CAGACCCAGGTCTTCAAGCTGGGCTTGGCCAAGTCCATCCACCACGCTCGCGTGCTGATCCGCCAGCGCCATATCAGGTACCACCTCGGATGGGCACCTGAATCTTCCTCCACCTGCCCCTCTGATGGTTGCCCTCACTAAGCCTGCTGTCCCTATCTCCTATGCAGCCCTCGGAGGTGATGGGTGTGAACTCACCCAGAGGGTACAGATTCACCCTTGCACACAGCTCACCAGGGAGCTGGGGCAGCCTCTTGCCCCAATAGCCCAGCGCAAGGGTCACTGCGGCTCTAGCCGTACACCTTGTGAAGGCCTCTGCCAGGCATGTGGGCAGCTGGACAGGTAACAGCTCTTGGTGTCCCCAGTGGAGGGAGAGAACCAGCCTCACCTCGCTTGGGTGGTGGGTTCAGCTGTCTCCTGGCTCGCTTGTGAAGTTGATTCCAGACCCCGATCCATGACTGCGTTCTGGGTACTCAGTGTGCCCTTTCTGTAATGTGGCACCATTGAGGGGGAGGAGCTGTACAGAAAGAGGGCAAGATGTTTGCGTTTAGAATCTTCGCCCCAGCCCTTCACTAACCCTGTGAGCCGTAGGCAGAGCCTTGTGTGTCAATGCTTTCGTCGGAGACGTAGCCTCGGGTTGCTGTGTTATTGTGGGCATTGCTGCTGCACGTGGTAATACAGCTCAGTGTCAGGTGTGGGGTTCACGATATTTCAGACTCGGAACTTGGGGGCTCTCACATGGCCATCTCATTTGCTTTGTGGTCTTAGGTGGGATACTTTCAGATTTCTCCTATAAAATGGGGTTGAGAAAGTCATCTGAAGCATTTTTGGGGATTAAGGTGATACCCTAAAACCCCGGAGGGCGCACGTAGGATCAGGTGCACCCTTCCTGCAGCGCCTTGGTGTCTGCAGCCGTGGCGGCCTCACGGGGTGGGTGGAGAGGAAAGAGTGGTGCGGTAGCTGGGGTTAGCGTCCGTTTCTCCTCCAGTCCACCTCACCTTGTCGCTGCTTCCAGGGTCCGCAAGCAGGTGGTGAACATCCCGTCCTTCATTGTCCGCCTGGATTCCCAGAAGCACATCGACTTCTCTCTGCGCTCTCCCTACGGGGGTGGCCGCCCGGGCCGCGTGAAGAGGAAGAATGCCAAGAAGGGCCAGGGTGGGGCTGGGGCTGGAGACGACGAGGAGGAGGATTAAGTCCACCTGTCCCTCCTGGGCTGCTGGATTGTCTCGTTTTCCTGCCAAATAAACAGGATCAGCGCTTTACAATTGGTGTGTGGGGGTCTCTCATCCTTGACTCTTTCCCCTGCTCTAAACATGCAGCCTTCCCTGGGAGGCTCACTCACTTCAGGGTGATACTTGGGAGTGCCTACCAGCTAGTGGTCCCTGGCCTCTCAGTACTATTCTACAGTAGTGAACACACATCTTTACCAGAAACTTCTGTCATCAGGGGAGAGACGAGTGGTATTTTTGGAAAAACTGTGTCAAAACCAGAAGGAAATTCCAAGTAAGCCGGTGTTTGCATATAGGGGTGGGAGGGAGCCGGTCATTGCTAGGCAGGGCAGGCGCCGAGTGGAGGTGGGGGCCTTCCCTGCCTGCTGGCCCTGGGACCCTGACCCCGCCAGGCAAGAGACAGGTGGGACGGGAGCTGACCAGAGGCTGACGGGTTGCTGGGGAAGGTGAACTGTTGGTGATTGTTGGGGAACACTTCACAGAATTTGCTTGCTAGTTTCAAAGCTTGTGATGCGGTTGATGTTGGGCAAGTTCCCAGTTTTGTCTTCACATGTAGGGGAAGTGGGTTAGCGTAGGAGAAGGGGCGTTGAGGGAAGTCTGTTCCTCCTCTCCGCGTTCAGTGCTTCTGTGGACTCACGGTCAAGAGGTTGGCAGGCTTCCCTTTTCTCAGCCTTGTTGATCATCTGTGTTGGGAAGGGGTTTGGTTTCTGAGGAAGTGAGAAACCTGAAATTGTGCAACCCCCTCAGGCTGCAGGCTGTAGTTGATTGGGTCCTTATCTGGAGGCCTTCAGGGTTTGAGGTCAGGGCAGGGACAGTTCTGGAACACAGCTAAGTTACTGTAAACCACGTGGAGAAGTCCATTGCGGCTTACTCAAGCTAGGTGGTTGGCCCTTCCTTCCCTCAGCGTTGCTACTTGGGAAATGACGGTGGTCTTGTGTCCATGGGGCCAGCTGCTGCACCATCTGGGCTCACTGTGGTCTCCTTCCTTGGAGCGTGGGGTCTGGGCTAGTGGATGGCCGGGGCAGCGTACTCACTGGGCTCCTGGGAGCTCCCCTGGGAGGAAGAGACTGCAGTTGTCTCTGGTCTGAGAGGTGGTGGCTCACCTGGGTGTAGCTCACAATTGCGGAGCTCCACGGCAGCCTGGAGGGAGGGGAGAGTGGGAGTTGAGGTATGCGGTTCTGGGGAGAAGCCTACGGGCTTGGAAAGGAAAAGGGTCTTCAGGGCTCTGTCTACAGAGGCAGCGAGCGGGGCAACAGAGGGAGACTCCATCTCAAGAATTTGTAGAGATGGAGTCTCAATGTGTTGCCCCGGCTGATCTAAAACCCTTGGCCTCAAGCAATCCACTCGCCTCCCAAAGCGCTAGGATGACAGGTGTGAGCCACAGTGCCTGGCCTGCGTGGGTCTGTTTAATCTCCGGGCCTCTTGCTCTCCCTTTCTTGGTGATCTCCTTGGACCACATCCCTGTATCATTCTCTCTCTCGACCCTGAGCCCAGGGTCCAGAGCAGAGAACGGGATGGGGTCTGGGTAGGGGCCCCTCACTTGCAACCAGGATGTTGGGTGGGGGCGACGGGGGACCGACCTTGGGCAGGAGGCATTGTGTCCACCGCAGCATCTGTGCTGGCCCCCAGGGGGGTGGCTCGCATGGCCCAGGGGGACGTCCAGGAGGTGCTGCCCATCTAGGCACTGGCGGGCTGGGAGCCCCTTGTCCTGGTCAATGCAGAGCTGTCAAAACCGGCCTCTGAGTGATGCTGAGGGGTCAGGCTGTCTCCAGAGAGCACCGGCGATCACGGCTGTGCTGAGAGGGAGGGCTGAGGGCTGCCTGGACGCCCCTGAGATGAGGCGACTGGTATTTAGGGGATGCGTACTCTCTGGGGCCCGCTGGGGCCTGCAGGGAGAGCTCTCACCGGTCTCAACTCCATGCCTTCTGCCTTGTGCTTCTGGCCCAAGAGGTCGGGGTCACTGACCACCCCGTGTCCACCTAAGGCTTCCCTGGACACACAGCAGGGAGATGGGCAATGAGGGTGGGGGTTGTGGCCCTGCCTGTCACGGTCCCCAGCAGTGCAGATGAATTAGACCATTGAGCCACAGAGCCTGGAGGGCAGATGGGTGTGCTGGTATAAGGAGCCCCGGGCTCTGTGTTACAGGTCATGTGTTCTCACCAGTGGCCTTGCAGGAGGGGAACAGCCCCTTCCCCAGGGCCTCGCTCTGCTCCCCCTGAAGGATGGGGCTGAGGGGACAGCAGGCTCTGGGGGCCTTTCAGACCACATTTGAGTCAAAATTTGACTTCCCCATACTCTGCCTGCTTCCACCTCACCCAACTCTCATCCAGGGGTGACCCTTGTTCTAGCACATGAGGCTGAGGCCAGAGAGGGCAGGGCCTTAGGACACAGCCCAGTCACTGTTCTAATTCTAGAGGCAAGCCCCTTCCATGTCCTGAGCTCTGTAATGCATCTTTTCTTTCATGAGCCTTGCGATCAGGCGATGTTTATTCAGTGGTTACCACATCCAGGCATGCTGCCAGGAGGAGGGGAGTCGTGGGTGAAGCTGATAGGATTCCTGCTGGACTCACAGAGCCTGGGTTAATGACACATTACCCATGTTTAGATAGGAGGTAATTCTGCTCCGGTTTCGACAAGTTGTAGGAAAGGAGGAAAACATGCTCATAGCAGGTGAGCAGCGTACACCTGTCATGGGAGTGAGGGGTCCTTCTGGGGGATGGAGAGACCAAGACGTGAACAGTGAGTGTGGCACGCAGAGTGTCCTCCACCAGAAACAGTGTGGGCTGTTCTCAGACCTGAGAGTGAGCCAAAGGAAGCTGGGACCTTGTCATTCAGGGGACTTGTGCACCGTGAAGATTTATTGGATGCTATGTTTAAGAAAATGGAAAATCCGGCCCGGCACGGTGGTTTGCACCTGTAATCCCAGCACTTTGGGAGGCGGAGGTGGGTGGATTATGAGGTCAGGAGTTCGAGACCAGCCTGGCCAACATGGTGAAACCCCGTCTCTACTAAAGACACAAAAAATCAGCCAGGTGTGGTGGTGGACGCCTGTAATCCCAGCTACTCGGGAGGCTGAGGCAGGAGAATCACTTGAACCCGGGAGGTGGAGGTTGCAGTGAGCCGAGATCGCGCCACAGCACTCCAGCCTAGGTGACAGAGTGAGACTCCATCTCAAAAAAAAAAAAAAAAAAACCGGGGAATCTTTAGAAAGCACAGTGGAAACAGATGTCTGTTTTTACAAGCCCATCACTGCACAGAATGCAATATGGGAGGGTTTCACTAATGGTTAACCATAACCACACTCCAGCGTGAGCCCAGCCACTAGGCAATGTGCTGATAAGGATTCTAAGTGGTTTATGTGGACTCCTCATGACCTATGACACACATACGTTTACAGTGGAGTGGAACGAGGCAGGAGGGCTTCTCTTTGTCATAGTCTACCAGCTCTGCAGAGGTGTCAGCTACATCCGGATTGGCTCAGGGAGCGGCCGTCAGAAGACTTACACGTGTTTAATAACTGAGGTTGTGTGTGTGTGGCAGGGGGTGGGTAACTGTGATGAGTTTGGTGTGGCAGAGGGGGAGCCATAGCCTGTGAAGCTGGAAAGTGTATCAGGTTTGGTCATCAACAGGCTTGAACATGAAGTACAGGAACGTGCATCTTATTTTTGGAAGATGGAGCCCCGTTGGGGGAATTTGAGCAGTGGAGGGTCACAGCCAGGTAAGATGGTCAGAAGAGGCCTCGGAAGTGATGAGAGGGATGGACTGGAGTAGGGATGGGAGCCAGTAGGGGGCCAGGAGGGAGGTTGGTGCAGTGCACAGACAGGGCGTCCTCGGTCCCCAGCTGAGCTTAGACTGTGGGGATGGACCAGCGGACACGGGTGGAGCCGGGTGAGGAGGGATGTGGGCAGAGAGGTTTGGATTTGTTCACTGTGTGTGAAGCAGAAGAGTGTGAGGAGCTTTTCCACTCTCTGCCTTGGTTGATGGGAGGAACCAGTGGGGCTGCCGCAGGACAGACGACCCGCGTGGGAGAAGGAGGCTCGGGGAGATGTTTCTAAGACTTAACTTGCTCACAGAGGGAAGCACAAGCTTCCTTCGAGCCTGGGCTTTGTTTTCCCAAACAGGTCCCTTCACTGACTTTCTTTTTTGAGACGGAGTCTCGCTCTGTCGCCCAGGCTGGAGTGCAGTGGCGCGATCTCGGCTCACTGCAAGCTCCGCCTCCCGGGTTCACGCCATTCTCCTGCCTCAGCCTCCCGAGTAGCTGGGACTACAGGCGCCCGCCACCACGCCCGGCTAATCTTTTGTATTTTTAGTAGAGACGGGGTTTCACCGTGCTAGCCAGGATGGTCTCGATCTCCTGACCTCGTGATCCACCCGCCTCGGCCTCCCAAAGTGCTGGGATTACAGGCGTGAGCCATCGCGCCCAGCCAACTTTCCTGTTAATGAGTAGCACTCTTTTTTTCTTTCTTTTCTTTCCCCCTTTTTTTTTTTTTTTAGACATGGTCTTGCTCTGTTTCCCAGGCTGGAGTGCAGTGGCGTGACCTCAGCTCACTACAACCTCCACCTCCTGGGTTCAGGTGATTGTCCTGCTTCAGCCTCCCAAGTAGCTGGATTACAGGCACGTGCAACCACGCCTGGCTAATTTTTGTATTTTTAGTAGAGACAGAGTTTCACCATGTTGGCCAGGCTATTCTCGAACTCCTGACCTTAAATCATCCTCTTGCCTTGGCCCCCCAAAGTGTTAGGATTACAGGCATGAGCCATCATGCTCGGCCTCTTTTTTCTTTTTCTTTTTTTTTTTTTTTGTTTTTGAGACAGAGTCTTGCTCTGTCACCCAGGCTGGAGTGCAGTGGCGTGATCTCAGCTCACTGCAGCCTCCACCTCCCAGGTGCCAGCGATTCTCCTGCCTCAATCTCCCAGTTAGCTGGGATTACAGATGCGCGCCACCATATCCAGCTAAATTTTGTATTTTTTAGTAAAGACAGAGTTTTACCATGTTGGCCAGGCTGGTCTTGAACTCCTGACCTCAGGTGATCCGCCCGCTTCAGCCTCCCAAAGTGTTGGGATTACGGGCATGAGCCACCATGCTCGGCCTCTTTTTTCTTTGCTTAAAAGATGAGGCCTGTTGCCCAGGCTGGAGTGCAGTGGCACTATCATAGCTCACTGCAGCCTTGACATCGTGGCTCAGGTGATCCTCCCGCCTCAGGCTCCCGAGTGGCTGGGACTACAGACGTGCACCTCCACAGCCACTACTTATTTTTGTAGCGATGTCTATCAGCTGGTGAATAGAGAAAGTGTGGTATATCCTTACAACAAAATATTATTCAACCGTAGAAAGGAATGAAGTACTCATACATGCTACATGTGTGAACCTTGATAATATACTAGATAAAAGCAGTCAGGAAAAAAAGGTCACATATGACGTTATTTCATTTATAAGAAGTATCCAGCCTGGGTGTGGTGGCTCATTGCCTGTAATCCAGCACTTTGGGAGGCCAAGGCAGGTGGATTGCCTGAGTTTAGGAGTTTGAGACCAGCCTGGGCAACATGGTGAAATACCATCTCTACCAAAAATACAAAAAATTCACCCGGCATGGTGGCATGTGCCTGTGATCCCAGCTACTTGGGAGGCTCAGGTGGCAGGATCGCTTGAGCCTGGGAGGCAGAGGTTACAGTGAGCCGAGATCACACCACTGCACTCCAACCTGGGTGACAGAGTGAGTCCCTGTCTCAAAAAAAAAAAAAAAAGGTATTCAAAGAAGGCCAATCGATAGAGGCAGAAAGTAGGTTAATTGTTGCATGGGATTAGGTGGGAGTGATTGCTTGATGTAAACTCGGTTTCCTTCTCGGTATGATAAAAATGTTTCGGAATGAGATAGAGGTGATGCTTACACCATATTGTGAATTTACTAAATGCCACAAAATAGAGTTGTATCTCAATAAAAATATATTTGTTGGGCCGGGTGCGGTGGCTCACGCCTATAATCCCAGCACTTTGGGAGGCAGGCAGATCAAGAGGTCAGGAGTTCAAGACCAGCCTGGCAAAACCCTGTCTCTACTAAAAATATAAAACTTAGCCAGGCGTGGTGGCATGTGTCTGTAATCCCAGCTACTCGGGAGGCTGAGGTAGAATGGAGCGAGACTCCGTCTCAAAAAAAAAAATATATATATGTAAATATATATATGTTGGGCATAGTGGTGCACACATGTAGTCCCAGCTACTTGGGAGGCTGAGGCAGGAGAACCACTTGAACCTGGGAAGCGGAGGTTGCAGTGAGCCGAGACTGCACCATTGCACTCCTGCCTGGGCAAAAAGAGTGAAACTCCATCTCGAAAAAAAAAAAAACCACACACACACACGTAGATAAAATCAAATATTCTGTATTCCATAAATATGTACAATTATTATTTTTCAATTAAAAACTCTTAAGCTGGGCACAGTGGCTCATGCCTGTAATCCCAACACTTTGGGAGGCGGAGATGGGAGGCTCTTGAGCCCACAAGTTTGAGGCCAGTTTGGGCAACATCGTGAGATCCCATTGCTACAAAAAAATTTAAAATATATTTTTAAAAAACTCTAATACAGTAGTCCCCCTTTATCTGTAATTTTCTTTCTGTGTTTTCAGTTACCTGGTGGTCAACCATGGTCCAAAAATATTAAATAGAAAAGTTAAGGAATCATAAGTTTTTGTTTTTTTTTTTTATTGATCATTCTTGGGTGTTTCTCGCAGAGGGGGATTTGGCAGGGTCATAGGACAACGGTGGAGGGAAGGTCAGCAGATAAACAAGTGAACAAAGGTCTCTGGTTTTCCTAGGCAGAGGACCCTGCAGCCTTCCGCAGTGTTTGTGTCACTGGGTACTTGAGATTAGGGAGTGGTGATGACTCTTAACGAGCATGCTGCCTTCAAGCATCTGTTCAACAAAGCACATCTTGCACCGCCCTTAATCCATTTAACCCTGAGTGGACACAGCACATGTTTCAGAGAGCACAGGGTTGGGGGTAAGGTCACAGATCAACAGGATCCCAAGGCAGAAGAATTTTTCTTAGTACAGAACAAAATGAAAAGTCTCCCATGTCTACCTCTTTCTACACAGACACCGCAACCATCCGATTTCTCAATCTTTTCCCCACCTTTCCCCCCTTTCTATTCCACAAAACCGCCATTGTCATCATGGCCCGTTCTCAATGAGCTGTTGGGTACACCTCCCAGACGGGGTGGCGGCCGGGCAGAGGGGCTCCTCACTTCCCAGTAGGGGCGGCCGGGCAGAGGCGCCCCTCACCTCCCGGATGGGGCGGCTGGCCTGGCGGGGGGCTGACCCCCCCACCTCCCTCCCGGACGGGGCGGCTGGCCGGGCGAGGGGGGAATCATAAGTTTTTAACAAATCAAAATATTTCTAAAAACCTAGAGTAGGCAGGAAAGGGGAAACAACACACAGCAGAGGAGACAAACAAAAAGGCACACCTGAACACAGTCATGCACCGCATAACGATGTTTCGCTCCACTACACATTTCATATGTGATGGTATAGCCTATGTATGTAGTAGGTTATACCACGTAGGTTTGTGTAAGTAGACTCTATGATGTTCACACGACGGTGAATTTTTTTTTTTTCTTTTTTTTGAGATGGAGTCTCATTCTGTCTCCCAGGCTGGAGTGAAATGGCACGATTTTGGCTCACTGCAACCTCCGCCTCCCAGGTTCAAGCGATTCTCCTGCCTCAGCTTCCCAAGTAGCTGGGATTACAGGCATGCACCACGATGCCCGGCTAATTTTTGTATTTTTAGTAGAGACAGGGTTTCACCATGTTGAGCAGGCTGGTCTCGAATTCCCGACCTCTGGTGATCCACCCATCTTGGCCTCCCAAAGTTCTGGGATTACAGGCGTGAGCCACCACGCCTGGCCAAAATTTTTTAATGATGGCTTTCTCAGAACATATCCCTGTCATTAAGTGACATACGGTTGTAATGTCATCAGTGATTACATTAAATATAAGTGATCAAAAAGAGATTACAAGATTGGAATTTTTTTTTTTTGAGACAGAGTCTTGCTCTGTTGCCCAGGCTGTAGTGCAGTGGTGTGATCTCGGTTCACTGCAACCACTGCCTCCTGGGTTCAAGCAGTTCTCTGCCTCAGCCTCCCTAGTAGCTGGGATTACAGGTGCCTGCCACCACACCTGGCCAGTTTTTGTATTTTTAGTAGAGATGGGGTTTCACCATCTTGGCCAGGCTAGTCTTGAACTCCTGACCTTGTGATCCACCCGCCTTGGCCTCCCAAAGTGCTGGGATTACAGGCATGAACCCCCGTGCCTGGCCTGTTGTTTATATTTTATCACATTAAAAAAGCAGAAGGATGAAAAATGTATTATGCAAACACTAATCAACAGATAATTTCACTGGCTTGTTAGTTGTTTTGTTTTTTTGAGACAGGGTCTCGTCCAGGCTGAAGTGCTGTGGTGCGATCTCGGCTCATTGCAGCCTCGACCTCCTGTACCCAAGTGATCCTCCCACCTCAGCCTCTCAAGTAGCTGGGACTACAGGTGTGTGCCACCACGCCGGACTGGTTTTATTTTTTGTAGAGATGGGGCCTCACAATGCTGATCTGACTGACTCGAACTCCTGAGCTCAAGCTATCCTCCCCACTTGCCCTCCCAAAGTATTGGGATTACAGGTGTGAGCCACTGCACCTGGTTATGCTTCTTTTTTATTTTTTTTCTTTCTTTTTTTTTTTTTTTCGAGACGGAATCTCACTCTGTCGCCCAGGCTGGAGTGCAGTGGTGCGATCTCAGCTCACTGCAAGCTCTGCCTCCCGGGCTCATGCCATTCTCCTGCCTCAGCCTCCTGAGTAGCTGGGACTATAGGCACTCGCCACCACGCCCGGCTAATTTTTTTGTATTTTTAGTAGAGACGGGGTTTCACCGTGTTAGCCAGGATGGTCTCGATCTCCTGACCTCATGATCCGCCCGCATCAGCCTCCCAAAGTGCTGAGATTATAGGCGTGAGCCACCGCGCCCGGCCTATTTATGCTTCTTAATTTTCCCATGTCATAAGTTCGATGTATAATATTTACATTATCATTCAGTTTAAAACATTCACTGTTTTTTTTTTTAGAGACAAGGTCTCGCTCTGTCACACAGGCTGGAGTGCAGTGGCACAGTCATAGCTCACTGCAGCCTCAGCAGCCTTAACTTCTTGTGTTCAAGGAATCCTCCCCACTCAGCCTCCTGAGTACCACACCCGGCCTTTACGTCTGTTTTTGTTTTTTGTTTTTTTGTTATTAACTCATTGATTGTTGAGAAGTCTGTTGCTTTATTTCCAAAATGGGACGATATTAGTCATCTTTGAGTCAGGTGAGTCCCACAAGTTCCCAGCGTCTCCTCATGGTCTGTGTTAGGGGTCCAGGCTGACTGGGGTTCACTGGTGTCCACTGGGGGCAGCTCCCGTGCCTTCAGCAGTCCTGAGTCTCCTTCTGCTGAGTGTGGGGTCTGCGTACCCCCCGGGCTAGTGGATGGCCAGAGTGGCGTAGATGCTGGGCTCAGCTGGAGGTTCCCCTTCCTGGGATGGAGGAGGCTCAGTTGCCTTCCGTCTAAGGGTCAAGCTGTGCAGCTGGGCGTAGGTCACATCCTGGGAGGCTTCAGATGCAGCAGCCTGCAGCGGGGGAGAGTGAGAGGTAAGGAACGTGGTGGGGGTGGGGGAGGCCTGGGGGCCTGGAGAGGAAAGGACTCACCTCAGTGTCCATCTGCCTGTCCTCTTCCACCTGTCTGTCCTTTGTGTCCAGGAATTCCCCAGACAGTGAGGAGGGAGGAGAGGCCATTTCTCTCCTAGGACTGGAGTGTTTCACCGGGGCATACGTCACTGCCTGGGGGTCTTCATCGTGTGGGCTCTGCTGGAGAGAGACAGTGGTGGGGGGTGTCCTTGAGTCCCCCTGACCTCCTGGAGTCAATTTTCCTCACTGTTCCCGGGGTGATCCGATTACATCCCTTTCCTGATGGAATCTCAGGGACGCCCTAAGGCCGTGGAGGGTCTGGCCGCTCCCTCCCTGTGGTTCTGGCCTCTGCTCCTCACTCTGACCTTGCCCATTTGGCTGCAGCCTCACAGGCCTTCCTGCAAGAGCTCGCTGCTGCCTGGGGGCCTTTGCACGGCTGTTTCCTCTGCCTGCAGGGGCTCGTCCATCAGAGGATCATGTGCCCCACTCTGTCCAGGCTTCTCAGATGACAGCTGAGCAGACAGCCCTCCCCTTCCATTCAGACTGGCCCCACTGCCCCACACTCTCTGCCCTTTCCCTGGTGTATGTTCCTTACAGCACGTTGCACTCCTGGACACGATGCATTTATTTGCATTTTGTCTCCCACCATGAGGTGAGCTCAGGAGGCGGGGGCGGCTTTGCTCCCTGCTGTGTCTGCAGCTCCCATGGGGAGCCCCATCCACAGTGAGCTCCCTGGGAACACTCGCTGGATGAATGAATGAAGAGGAGCCCAGGGGACGGAGGTGGTTCATTTATTCGTCATCCTCCTGAGGCCTGGGGAGAGCTCTAACAACCAGACGGCCAAACAGAGGATGAGGAGCAGGAAGGGGACCCGGGAGGAGGCCCACGAGGTCCCAGGACAGCAGAAGAGAGTGAGGTCACAGCAGGCGGGAGGCAGCATGCTGGACAAGGAGGGGTCCACCGTGACGATGCTGAGAGCCGGGGGAAGGAGGACAGAGAAGTCCTGCAGGATTAGATCTGGCACCAGGAGGCCTTTGGTGCCTGGGACGGGGCGGGATCTCACCTGACTGTCCAGCTCCACCCTGTCCTCAGACTGTGTGTCCTTCACGGCAGCATCTGCTGGGGCAGAGCAAGGGGTTCGTCTCCTGGTTCTCTGAGACCTCTCAGTCCTGCTGGCCCCCTGCCCTGCTCCCAGATGGGGCCACCGAATGCAGGGAGGTCCCACAGTGTGGGGCAAGACCATCTTCCACGGAGCCCCAGACCCTTCCCAGCCCCTCCCTGTTGCTACTGAAATTTTGGGACTCCTGTCTCTCCAGCACCCCCATTTGTCCCCTCTCTTCCTCTTACAGAGGTTTTCTTCCTGGACGTCAGCAGCTGGGCTGGACCTGGAGGAGGACATGGGAGTGTGAGGGGCAGTGTATGGGCTGTGGTGGGTGGGAGTCTGTGGTCTTTGGGGCAGAATTACCTCCTCAGCAGGCCCCTGTCCTTGGGCTCTGTCTCCGCAGCCCCTGCAGGACGCTGGAAATCAGTCTTTCTCTGGTCTGGGTGAAGATGGACAGAGTCTCAGCCCTGGGAACATTAGAACTCCCATTCTACACATGCAACTTGAGGGAAAGAAGGAAAACTAAAAATATTCCTGCATGGATGTTCCAAATATTTTATGAGATAGAAAAAAACTCCCATGAATACTGAAGTTTGTAAATGCGTATTGAAATTACGTGCCCCTGGAACCGGTTTTCTAAACTGACACCCCTGTGTGTTTGGGTTCCCTCTGGCTGGTGCCCTGAGCCCACCCTCGGTCGACCCATGGGTCCCCCGCTTCCCTACTCACCAGATGTCCTGTGTTTGCTGTGACGCTGACGTCGGAGGAGGAGGAAGAGGAGGAGGAAGAGCAGCAGGACGAAGGCCACCGAGACCCCAATCAAAACCTCCAGGTATCTTCCCAGACCTTGACATGAGGACGTCAGGAGTGGGAATGATGTCATTGATGTGAGCACCTACTGTGTGCAGGCGCGAGCCAGGTCTTTCCTTCGTGACCTCCAACCCTCACAAGCAGTCGTGCAACATGGAATTGCCACCCGTACAACCCATTTCACAGATGCACAAACTGAGGCTCAGAGCAGGGAGTCGCCTGCCCCAGGCCTCCAGCGAGGAAGCGGCAGAGCTGGGAAGGGAGCCCGGGAGTCTGGCCTGCAGCCCTTGTTCCTGCACCAGAGCCGAGACCCGGAGCTGCAGGGAAAGAGCCTGACCGTCCTGAACCACGGCCCTGCTCCCCTCCCCTGCCCCAGGTCACCGTCACTGCTGCAGGTGGGACGGGACAGGCCCCTGTGGAATCGGGTCTGGGAGGTTCCCTGGGAGGCCTCCTCTCCCAGGAGGTCATAGCTGGGGGTCAGAGCTGAAAGGAACTTTCCCACCCACAGGCCTCTCTCCTTTACACTTGGAGAAACTGAGGCCCAGGCAGGGGAGGGGCCTGTCCACATCACCACCTCCAGAGGAGCCTGAACCTAGGACAGAACCCACCCCTGCCTCCCCTGGACCCCGCCCATCTCCCACTCAGAGCCCCTCACTCACCATTCTGAGGGCCTGACCCTGGGGGGTTAAGGGGCTGGTCCTCAGGACCTCCTGGGTCAGGACAGGGAGGTGAAGCCTGGGGCTACCTTGCTCCCCACATCAGCCCGGCTCCTCCTCCTGGCTGGGCCCCAACATCTCTCTCTGCCTTGAACCCCCCACTCTTCACCAGCCCAGCCTCAGAGCCCCTGGGACACAAGCCCGTCCTTGAGGGGAGGGGAGTGGGATCCTTTGGGAGACTCAGACTGCCCTGGGGGAGGCCGCGCTCCCCAAGAGGCCTCAGTGACTCACCAGGTGTGGAGGGCGGCCCTGTGGGTGGGAGGCTGGAGCCTCCAGAGTGTCCTGGAAGGAGCACGGGAGGCGGGTGAGGGGCGGGGGCCGTCCATGGAGTGCACCCTTCCACTCCCACTCTCCTGCTTCCGCCCAGTGGATTCCCTGGAACCATCTCTCTGCCCACCTGGTGCCTTCTGCATGCCAGGCAGGGGAGAACGGGTGGCCACGCCTAGGAGAACCCCTGTTGGCCTCCTCCCCTCTGAGGGCTGGGTGCCCTCTGGCTAAGCCTCCCTCACAGCCTCCCTCGGTCCATCCCAGCCGAGAGCTCTCCTGGGGGCCTGGGCCTGAGCTGAGCCTTTGAGCTCAGAGAGGACGGGGTCAGCGCCCTCACCTGAGACCATGAGTTCCAGGGGCTCACTGGGGAAAGACAGCAGGTGGGGGTTGGAGCTGTATGAGCCGTAGCACCTGTAGGTCCCCGCGTGGGCTGAGGTCACAGGACTCATGGGGAATTCAGCCTGGTACTTATGAGCTCCGTACATTGATCTCAGACGCAGTGGGGGATGGGCTGCCCCTTCTTTGGTCAGAAGGAAAGTGTCAAACTGCCACCATGACTGACACAGCAGGGTCACGTTCTCTCCTGAGGCCACTGTGGGGCCCGGCTGTGCTGACAGGGAGACGGTGTCATAGATCTGTCCTGGAGAGAAGAAGGATGGGTGAGGGGCTGCCCCACCTTGCTCTGAGCTGACACCTCCCCAGGCCTCTCCCTGGGACCCTCAGTGTCTCTGTCTCTGTTTTCTCTGAGTCTCGCCTCCCCGCCCATCCCCTGTCTCTGTCTGTCTCTCCCTCCCTTGGGACCCCCACCCCTCATCCCGGCCATCACCACCTGGGCTCCCCCAGCAGGGCCTGTGCAGAGCCTGGGTCCCTGACTGAACCCGCTGGGCTCCTCACCTGCCATCAGGATGTTCAGGGGGTCGCTGGGGGCCGACCACTCGGAGGAGAGGTTGTGTGCACCATAGCACCTGTACTGGCCCCCGTGGGAGGGGCTCACAGGGCCCAGGGTGAAGTTGGCCTGGGAGAGCCCAGCCTGGGGCTGCTGGCCAGGGCGCTGGAGGAAGTCACGTTCCCCCTCCTTATACAGAACAAATCTGTCGTAGCCGACATCAGAGCCACACTGGAGGGTCAGGCTCTGCCCAGGGGCCAGGACAGGGCCCTGCAGGGTCAGGAGGGAGGGCTTCCTAGACACGCCTGGAGGGAAAGAGGAGCCAGGACTGAGAGGGCTGGTTCCTCCCACGCCCCTTCCTTCTCCCGTCCTGGCCCTGCAGGTCTCACTGTCTCTCACGCTCTGAGTCTCTGACCCCAGGGCCTCCTTCTCACCCGGGGCTGTCTTGGAGTCATTTCAGAGGAGTGGGGTCTCCCTAGCCCTGGCCACTGTGCCTGATCTTTCCTCCTCTCCCTGAGAGCTGGGACCTCACAGCAAACACACCGATGCCTTCCTGAGTCCTCCCCTTCCAGGTGAACGTGGTCGAGGGCTCCTCCTCCCATGTCAGAGCCTCCCCATGGGGTCTCCCTCATGCCTTCAGCCCGTCCTTCAACACATCACTCTGGGTCCTTTCCAGATTCAGTCACCAGCCAAACTCCCCACAACCTGTCAGCTGCCCCGAAAGTGTGTTAGACAAGGCCGTGGCTCCCTCACCTGAGGGCAGAATCTCCAGGGGGTCACTGGGGTGGGACCACACCTGGGGGGTGTTCATATAATAGTAATAGCATGTGAACCTCCACCTGTGGCTGGGGTTCACGGGGCCCACAGGGAACAGGGCCTGGAACCCCCCACTGTGGAGCTGCTGTGAGTCCAGGGTCCGGGGGAGCTGGTGTTCTCCTTCCTTCATCAGAACAAAATGGTGATATCCCTTCTGTGAGCCACATCGGAGGGTCATATTCCCCCCTGAGGCCACCACAGGGCTGGGCAGGGCTGAGAGGGTGGGTTTGTTGTAGAATCCTAGGAGAGAAAGAGGCACCGTGTTAAATGGGGCTCCCACCTCCCACATCATCCCCAGGGCTGGGCTGTGAGAGGGAGACGCCCCTGAGATCCGACCCCCTTCCTGAGGGCAGAGCCTGGGGCTGGGACCCCAGAGTGTCCTCTCACCTGTCATCACCAGCTCCAGGGGGTCGCTGGGCTCTGACCAGCCTGCAGAGCTGTAATAGTGGCAGCGGTATCTCCCCGCATGGTGCTCTGTCATGGATGGGATGGAGAATCTGGCCTTGTTCTTGGGTTCCAGTGGGTTATTTCTGTCCAAGGGCTCTGGGCTTCCCTCTTTATCCAGTCGGTACTCCTGGGCCTCCAGGCTCCCCTGACACCAGATGGTCACGGGGCTCCCCCAGCTGATCACAGAGCCTGGCTCAGCCCAGAGGGTGGGTTTGGGGAAGGGCCCTAGATGGAAATCAGAGGCTGGATCCCAAGACATCCCCACGCTCAGATCCCAGCTCCCAGCCCCAGGACTTCCCCATCATCCCCATCAGTCACCCAGAACTACTGTCTCCTCCCCCAGCTGCCCATGGGTGGCCCCCTGTCCCAGTGAGGAGTAGGGACCTGGGACAGCTGGGGACAGACTCACCTGCCTGCACGCGGGTCCTGGGGCCCAGACTCAGCCCTGGAAGAGAGTTCCCTGTGAGGCATTTGCCCTGAAGCCTGAGCAGGTCCCCGCCCGGGTGCCTCCTGAGCTTTTGAGGTCTCCTGATGGACCAGGGCTTGTGTGTGGGGTGGGGTTCCTCTAAGACTCGGATCTCCCCCTCCCCATCTTGAAATCTCACCAAGGCAGAGCAGGGCTGTGAGGGCGGGCGTCATGGCGTCTCCTCCCGGTGACCCCGCGCTCTGCAGAGGGATGAGCCCTCAGTGCTGGCAGGACAGAGAGACACACAGGGTGTGGCCGCTCGGAGGCTGGGTCCTTCTTGTCATGGGGTTGTCTCATCCTCAGCCCACAGGAAGAGGAACTGCCACCCCAGGAACCTGGCTCTGATTTCCCCAGGGCTGAAGTGGGGGCAGGCACCAGGCTCTCTGCAGGCATTTCAGAGAGAAATGGGGTCTCCCTGCCCCCGGGCCACTGTCTGCCTGATTTATCTTTATCTCACTGAGGACGGGGACACAGCCGCAAATAGACCTGGTGCCTTCCTGAGTCAGCCCCTTTCAGGCGAGGGTGACCGTGGGCTCCTCCTCCCTCTCAGAGCCTCCCCATGGGGTCTCCCTCCCTCCTTCAGCTCGTCCATCAGTTCAGCGTTACGGGGTCCTTACCATGGCAGTCGTCTCTCCAGCCCTGGAGATGCTTCAGGGAAGACCCAGGTCCATGCTGCAGGCAGACTCAGATCAGCAGAGACGCACCTGACACCTGGCTGTGTAGTCCAGGCTGAGCTGCGTGTAGCAGTGAGCACAGAGAAATGCAGGGTCTACCGTGGTGGCTCATGCCTGGAATCCCAGTACTTCAGGAGGCTGTGGCGGGTGATGGCTTGAGGCCAGGAGCTTCAGACAGTCCTGGGAAACAGACTGTGACCCTGTTTCTACAGAAAAGAAAAAAGTGAGCTGGGCATGGAGGCTCATGCCTGTGGTCCCAGCTACTCAGGAGGCTGAGGTGGGAGGATCACTTGGGCCCGGGAGGCGGAGGCTTCAGGGAGATATGATCACCCCTTGGCCTTCCAGCCTGGGCGACAGAGCAAGATCCTGTCTAAAAAGGAGAAATAGAGGGGATAAAGAGAAATATATATATATATGTTTCATTGTAATCTATAATCTGATTCTGGGGAAGGTGAGCTGATTTGTATTTAATTCCTGATTATCATCTAGGGTTTATGTGACTTTGGACATGAATGTCACCTCTGAGCCTGCTGTCATGAACCCCACTCATCACAGTGGCTGTGGGGGTCAGTGGTGCCCAGGACATGGGAGGCTCAGCCATGGTGAATTTCCAGACCAGTTCAGACAGGAGGGTGGGGACGGGAGAGGATCCTGGTGCTGGGCTCCACAGTCGAGGAGGATGATTGACGCCCCCACTCAAGAGCCCACATCGGCTCCAAATACCATGAAATTCTCCTTGTGATACGTCTGAAATATGCAGATCATCACAGCCACAGGCCGAGAAAGAGGAAGAACAGTTCCTCACATTGAGACGCATCCCCTTCCATGAGCAGAGTTCAATGCTGAGTGGCCACAGGTGTCTGGGACCACCGAGCGTCATTAGGGAGGAGGAGGCTCCCACCTCCGTGTGGGACAGAAGAGGAACCCCACGTCCTCCCAGGCAGGGAGGGGTCAGGGCTCTGGGTGACGCTGGAAGCTGTGGCTCCCCCTCCCCTGTGTGTGTGGACAGGCGCTGGGGGGTCTCTGCTCACTCACTGGAGGCCACGGTCAGCGCTCAGCCCCTCCCCTGTGTGTGAGAAACAGATTCGATCCACGGTGGTCAGACATGGGCGTCTGCCCCACAGGTGAGTGTGAGGCTGGCATTGGTCCCATCCCTGCTGGGCACAATCTTGAGCTGACACTGAGTTTGGGGGAGTGGGGCAGGAGCAGCGGCAACAATCCCCTTCATCAGGCTGATGCCTGGACAGCCGTGGGAGAAACCCTTTATGAAAGGTCAGGTGCGTGGGAGGAGCCGCCCCACAGGAATGACAACCGTATGAGGACAAAATAGACAGTTGTTGAAATGCATTAGACAGACATCGTGAAGGTGAAAAACTATATTAAATTAACGCCATTAAAAAGGAATTTATGTCTGGGCGTGGTAGTTCATGCCTGTAATCCCAGCACTTTGGGAGGTGGAGGCGGGCAGATCACTTGAGGCTAGGAGTTCGAGACCAGCCTGGGTGACATGGTGAAACCCCATCTCTACTAAAAATACAAAAAATTATCTGGGCGTGGTGGTGAGTGCCTGTAATCCCAGCTACTCGGGAGGCTGAGGCAGGAGAATCTCTTGAACCTGGAAGATGGAGGCTGCTGTGTGCTGAGATTGCGCCCCTGTACTTCAGCTGGGACAACAGGAGCGAAACTGTGTCTCAAAAAAAAAAGCAATTTACTAACCATATATACCTACTATGCAAACATAACAAAATCAAAGCATAATTTAATCCAGGGCAAGACAGCTGAAATAATAAATATATACATTGGGATAAAATATTCATGAAATTTTCCAGACTGTATCATGGAAAGAACAGAAATTGAACAATAGAAAATATTGATATATACACGAAGTTGAATGAGAAGAAAGAACGTGTCTGTCACGGTTTCAGAATGAAAGAAGGAAGAAGGATGTTAGTTCATGATATGCATGAAGAGCTAATGGTTGAAATTTTTACAGAACTGAAGAGAAAACATCAGTTTATAACTAAATTGAATATCTCGATCATGGTAAAGTGAAAACCATGAGGCATTAATTTAAAATAATCATAAAACTACCAGAGAAAATGTAAATTACCCTTGAATGAATGACAAGTTCATCGGGACTGGAGTTCCAAAGAGCAAACAGCAGCCCCAGAAGATACAGGAGAAACAACCACAAGCGTTTAACTGTGAGGAGAGAGTTCCTGTGCTGGGCCTAATTATTACTATTATAATTATTTATTATTATTATTATTATCTTTTGAGATGCAATTTCGCTCTTGTTGCCCAGGCTGGAGTGCAATGGCGCGATCTCGGCTCACCGCAACCTGGCCTAGTTATTATTAAAGGACCGAGTTGCAGTGTCAGCTGTGGATAAATCCTAGAACATAAGGAGACTCGGGGCACTCGTGACCCGTCAGGTCAGGCGGTGGCCTTATGAGGAATAAGGAGGGCGTTTTCAGTGTCCTTTTATCAGGTACTATGATAACAACAGAGAAAGAGAGAGATTGAGACAGACAGAGAGAGACGGAGAGACAGAGAGAGATTGAGACAGAGAGAGAGAGGGAGAGGGAGACACACACACACACACGGAGAGAGACAGAGACAGAGAAGCAGGCATCGCTTGAGCTGCAAGGCTGCAGACATGTTTGCATCTGGGCTCTTTCTGAAAGCAATACTAAACAATGTAAATCAGGGAGTGGAATAATGAACCCCAAATGGAGAAGATGAGATGCTACTGTGAATAAGTCAACAGTACATACAAAAAACGAATAAGCATAGATCTATCTGTAATCTGTGTATATACAAGTATATGCATTTCTACTAAGAATTTGAAAGAGCAAGGAAATGGATTCGCGTCTCTGGAGCCTCCAGAAAGGAATGCAGCCACGTTATGGCCTTGATTTTGTCCTAAAAGACTGTGAGATAATGAGTTTGTGTTGCTGAAGCTGCTCAATACGTGTAATTTGTTGTGGCAGCAATAGCAAACCAATACTAACACAAACAGCCTTTGAAAAGAAAAATAGATGATATTTCACACTTTTATTTATTTATTTATTTATTTTATTTTATTTTGAGACGGAGCCTCGCTCTGTCACCCAGGCTGGAGTGCAGTGGCGCGATCTTGGCTCACTGCAAGCTCTGCCTGCCGGGTTCACACCATTCTCCTGGCTCAGCCTCCCGAGTAGCTGGGACTACAGGCGACCGCCACCACGCCCGGCTAATTTTTTACTATTTTTAGTAGAGACGGGGTTTCACCGTGGTCTCGATCTCCTGACCTCGTGAACCGCCTGCCTCGGCCTCCCAAAGTGCTGCGATTACAGGCGTGAGCCACCACGCCTGGATATTTCATACTTTTAAATCAGCAATCTGTGAAGAAGAGAAAGTTATACACTTTCACTCAACCAACCACATGTCCTTAAAATTTACAAAGCATCAATTGAGACACAGTGGAGGATTTGAAGAAATATTGATCAGACTTTGATAGATTAAGTGAACAAAATATTCGTGAGGGTTGCATGGCACAAATGTTCAATCTCATGCGCAAATATGATGTTTCGATTGTTTATATATTATGTAAATTTGTATAGAAACGTTTCTGGAATATACATATAGCAACAAAGTGGGAATGCATATTTCTTTATATATATTTTTTTGAAACAAGGTCTCTCTCTGTTGCTCCATCTGAAGTACAATGGCACTATCCCAGCTCACTGCAGCCTCGACCTCCTGAGGCCTAGGTGATTCTGCCACAACCATTTCCTGAGTAGCTGGGACTACAGGATCATGCCACCTTGCCTGGCTAAATTTTTTTAATATGTATTTTTTTGTAGAGACAAGGTTTCGCTATGTTGCCCAGGCTGGTGTCAAACTCCTGGGCTCACGGGATCTGCCCACCTTGGCCTTCCAAAATGTTGGGATTACTGGTGTGAGCCACTGTGCGAGGCCAGGAATACTTATTTATGAAAACATATTGATCAGAAATATCTATCTTTTTTTTTTTTTTTTGAAACGAAGTGTAGCTCTGTCGCCAGGCTGGAGTGCAGTGGCACGAACTCGGCTCACGGCAATCTCCACCTTCCGGGTTCAAGCGATTCTCCTGCCTCAGGCTTGCGAGTAGCTAGAATTACAGGCGTGCGCCACCACACCCAGCTAATTTTTTTGTATTTTTAGTAGAGACTGGATTTCACCATGTTGGCCCAGATGGTCTCGGTCTCCTGACTTCTTGATCTACCCGCCTTAGCTTCCCAAAGTGGTGGGATTACAGGTGAGAGCCACTGTGCCCAGCCGTCTCTATCATTTTTACACAACAAAGTAAGCATCCAAACTGTTACTACAGGTAACGTTTCCTGATTAGAAGTTCAATTAAATTAGCAGCCAACAATAAGAAGACATTTAGAGAAAAAGCAATACTTTGGAAACAAATAACATTCTAAATATTCATGGGTTATAGGCTGGATGTGGTGGCTCATGCCTGTAATCCCAGCACTTTGGGAGGCTGAGGCAGGTGGATCACTTGAGGTCAGGACTTTGAGACCAGCCTGGCCAACATGGTGAAATGCTGTCTCTACTGAGAATGCAAAAATTAGCTGGGTGTGGTGGCATGCACCTGTATTTTCAATGACTCGGGAGGCTGAGACGGGAGATTCACTTGAACCCAGGAGGTGGAAGTTGCAGTGAGCCGAGATTGTGCCACTGCACTCCAGCCTGGGTGAGAGAGTAAGACTCCATCGCAAAAGCAAAAACAAATATTCATGGGTTATAGAATCACACAACATTAAATTGATAGAACATTAACGAAAAATGTCAATGAAATTATAACATATGAACGTTTGTAGGATGTAAAGTAAGAGAGTGAGAGAGAGAGAGGGAGCACAACAATTACCAAATCAAGATGGAAAGAGGCACCACTACCCATCCTACAGACATAAAAGGACTAGTGAAGCAAAACTAGGAATCTATGCTAAGATGTTTTACAACTTACATTTAATAGAAAATATCTTGAAGTATACAAACTACCAAAATTTACTCAAGAACAAATATATAGTGTAACATTTCCTATTTTTATTAAAGAAATTCAACTGGCCGGGATTGGTGGCTCACACCTTTAATTCCAGCACCTTGGGAGGCTGAGGCGGGCAGATTACCTGAGGTCAGGAATTCAAGACCTGTCTGGCCAACATGGTGAAATCCCACCTCTACTAACAATACAAAAATTAGCCAAGTGAGGTGGCGCATGCCTGTAATCCCAGCTACTCAGGAGGGTGAGGCAAGAGATCTGTTTGAACCCAGGAGGCGGAGGTTGCAGTGAGCTGAGATCACACCACTGCATTCCAGCCTAGACGACAGAGGGAGACTCTGAAAAAAAAAAAAAAAGAAAAGAAATTCAACCTACACTCAGAAATCTTTCCATAGGGAAATCTGGCCTAAATGGGTACACTGTTGATTTCTACCAAATATTTGAGAAAGTAAGAATGACATGGAAACTCTAGCTATCATTCAGTTCTCACTAGGCTCATCGACTTCTTCATTCCAGTCCATGGGTTCTTATGGACACATCCAGCCAGTTCAGTCCAAGTTCCTTAGTGGGGCAGCAGTTTGGTGCTGTTGGTGTTGCTGGAAGCTCTTTGACCTCCTTTGGAACAGAAATATCAAACAGTGGTAGCTTGCCCCAAAGTAGAGCGGTTGATTCTGCCTTTACACAGGATACAAGATCCCTAAAAACACAATTATCTCAAGGTCCTTCAAGCGCTCAGTTCGACCCTTTGAGAAGAAGCCCAACCATGGAACAAGGAGTGCAGACCGCCTGGGCCCACGGACCTGCTCCAGCACCTGTTGGGAGAAGGAGTCCTGTATCAACCAGGCCTTTGCCATCTACCAGCCAAAAAGCAATAGAGAATCAGGAGCAGAGGTGAGCTGAAGCGCACAACGTTCCAAGGCCAGAAAATGAGCAACTCAGGAATGAAACAAGAGACAAGCAGCTCCAGGTGCTCCTTCAGCGCCAAGGAGAGGGCGTGGGGGTCATGGGGTGGCAGGGGAAGATTTGCTATTCGGCGAGATGGGCCAATGAAATTTGAGAAAGACTTTTTTTTTTTTTTTTGGAGACGGACTCTCGCTCGGTCGCGCAGGCTGGAGTGCAGTGGTCCGATCTCGGCTCACTGCAAGCTCCGCCTCCCGGGTTCACGCCATTCTCCTGCCTCAGCCTCCCCAGTAGCTGGGACTACAGGCGCCCGCCACCACGTCAGGCTAATTTTTTTGTATTTTTCAGTACAGACGGGGTTTCACCGTGATCTCGATCTCCTGACCTCGTGATCCGCCCGCCTCGGCCTCCCAAATTGCTGGGATTACAGGCGTGAGAGAAAGAGTTTGACTTTGAAAGTGCAAATGCCCAATTCAACAAGGAAGAGATGGGCAGAGAGTTTCATAATAAACTTAAATTAAAAGAAGATAAACTTGAGAAAGAGGAGAAGCCTGTAAATGGTGAAGATAAAGGAGACTCAGGAGTTGATACCCAAAACAGTGAAGGACATGCTGATGAAGAAGATGCACTTGGACCTAATTGCTTTTATGACCAAACTAAATCCTCCTTTGATAATATTTCTGGTGATGACAATAGAGAACGGAGGCCAACCTGGGCTGAAGGAAGAAGATTAAATGCTGAAACATTTGGAATCCCACTTTGTCCAAACCGTGGCCATGGGGGATACAGAGGCAGAGGGAGGTCTTGGTTTCCATGGTGGCAGAGGGCGTGGTGGCAGAAGTGGTACCTTGACCACCCCTTGAGGATTTCGCGGCGGATTCAGAGGAGGTTCCACGGGTCGGGAGTTTGCAGATTTTGAATATAGGAAAAGCACAGCCTTTGGCCCCTAAATAGTCTGAATTGATAGTACTGCTCTCTGAAAGAAAGACAACAAAGCTGCTGCATAGTCTACAAACAAGTCTTTGAAAACAGGTGAATTTCTAGCTCTTCATGGTACTGGAAACTGATTTCAGTCTTTGCGAAGAACGAAGAAGTGAATTGGCTGTATGTTTGCCATCAGCACTGGGTTTTTGTTTTTTGTTTGTTTTTCTGTTTAATTTCAGAGATAAAATGCAGTTAGTTTTCGGGGGAGGAAGCCTTATCTTAAGACATGAGGATTAAATATATTTGGAATAGCAGAAGGTTAAATAATTTCTTATGTATAGTTAAACTAAAGCAGTACTTCAGTGGGACTTATAAGTATTGTGTCATCACTGAAAGGTTTTTTTTTTTTTTTTTTAATCACTGAATTGTATTTGGTAATTCCAGGTTGCCTGCAGATAGGGCCGTGATACTGTGTTCTGAGCCAAGAAGGGAGGGTGTGTGTGTGTGTGTGTGTGTGTGTGTGTGTGTGTATCTTTCTCCTCCTTTCTTTTGGGGAATCTTGTAATATTAAATAGTCTATTTCATCAATTAATTAGGGTGCTGGATGGTAGAGAATTTTGTCAGTCAACTAGGTACACACGGTAAATACTGTTTCTTAGGCAAACGTAACTTTTTTATACAGTTGTAAAATTCCATTATATTCCAATGCCAAAGAAACATTAAAAACTTTGTAAAGTTGTATAAAAAGCAACTAATTTTTTACAAAATAGATATCCTAAAGTTAGCCAAAAAAAAGAGAAAAGGGCAAAGTGATCATTTTTGGCGTAGGGTAACCCTTAGTTTCTTCCCTGGTAGTAATTTCCCACCAGGCAGATCGTCTAACCCCAAATCACCTAAAAGTGCAGGCCCAGGACGTGCTTATCTGCCCAGTGAGTCACCTGGAGGGGTGGTGATGGGGGCTGTTGATGACACGCTCCTTTCCTTTCCCAGCCCGTGTGTTCTACCTCTGAAAAGACATAGCATTTTCATTTGCAGAGCCCATTATAGAAAAATAAGAACAAAAATATTAGAAGGAAAAGACATAGCATCATTTAGTGTTCATTCATATGAATATGTATATTGTCTACAGCTATCTATATCTCTGTTTTATATCTATGTCTGTTACACCATCAGAGAGCACCTAAAGTGCAGAGTCTCATCCACAAACTGTTTCTTGCATCTACTGTAAGAGGCCATTCCGATGCTCTGTCAGCCCCAGCAGCACCCAACCACTACATGGCACGCATCCTATCTCAGATCATCCCCAGGATATCACGTGGCCCTGTTCTCATTGCCCCACTGATTTCATGGGCGTGCAGGTCCCTCGATCTGAGATTAAGTCATGAGATGCTCCATTTAAACAGGCGGGAGCCTCTGATTCCTGGCGGAGAGCCACAGTGAGCCCAGCAGAACCCATCTGAGCGCCAGCATCCAGCCCGGTCAGGAGGATTTGCTGCCCCCTCCTGGTGGAATGCGCGCCATGTCGTCAAGCGGCCACCAGATGACTCGCTCGCTGGTCCACTCAAAGGCATCACATCCAGAGCGCTCTGCTGGTCACAGGTGAGACTCTCAGCGACAGTGGTGGCTGCTTGGTCCTTGGTAAGAGGGAGTCGCTGGTGTTGGTTCCATGCATGTCCTTTTTTCTTTGATTCTTTTATTTTATTTTATTTAGAGACGGAGTCTCACTCTGTCGCCCAGGCTGGAGTGCAGTGGCGCGATCTCGGCTCACTGCAACCTCTGTCCCCTGATTCTCCTGCCTCAGCCTCCCGAGTAGCTGGGATTACAGGCACCTTCCACCACACCTGGCTAGTTTTTGTATTTGCAGTAGGGACGGGGTTTCGCCATATTGGCCAGGCTGGTCTTGAACTCCTGACGTCAGATAATCTGCCCAACTCGGCCTCCCAAAGTGCTGGGAATACAGGCGTGAGTCACTGCGCCTGGCAGCATGTCCTTTTTTTCTTGCTCCATGGCCACGACACTCACGGGCCCCTCCAGCACGCACTGGGGCTGCTGACACAGAGCTGGCTGAAGCTCACGGCATTAACCCAGTCATCAGCGGATCCTTAGATCTCCTAACCCCAGCTGTGGGCGCTCCTGCTAGCTTCTCAGGAGAAGCTCCTGGTCGAGAGCAGACGTTTCTCCTGTCCTCCTCCAGCCTCAGTCTCCGGCAGTTTCTGTGTGCCTGGGCCTTGAGGGTGGGTTTGTCTCCGTGTTTCTGTCCCCGCTCCTCATGGCAGCTGCATTGTATTGAGTAGGTTTGTTTGATGGGGACGGGTTTTCTGTCCCTATTCCAAATTTGCATATCTCTAATGGTATTTGTCTAGGATCACAGTCCAGGATTGTTCTCTGCACTCCTCCTAGGGTAGAGGGATTTTATGATCCACCTTCTTCCGGCCACAATGAGTCATTACCTGGGATCTGAGGTGGGCAGAATTATCTGAGCCTCTTCCAATGGCTTATGTCTTTTCCTCCATGTGAGAGAAACACCTGGGTGGGAAATGAGATTTCAGGCCATGCACAGTGGAAGCTCTTTCTGTCTGATCACTAATGTGGGGTCTCCATCTTGCTCCAAATCAGTTTTGTGAATGCACGGTTGAGACCCAAGAAAAAGAGCCTTTGGGTGAGTGCACAGCACCCCTCTGTCTTAGGTCCCCAGATATATCTCAATTTGGGCTTCTTCTGGAACATGAAACTATTTACTTTGAGTTTCCTACGAAAACATAGTGCTGGCCTTAGACTTCCTATCCTGAAACCCCACGTCTATTTCCCAACCTCATGCATGGAAAAGTGCTCGAATCTCCATAGGATCAGCAAGATCTCTATAGAATCTCCATGGGCCCTCCACAGGACCTCCATAAGATCTCAATAGGTTCTCCACAGGTTCTCCATAGGTTGTCCATAGAACCTCCACAGGACCTCCATAGGATCTCAATAGAACCCCCACAAGACCTCTATAGGATCTCAATAGAACCCTCACAGGACCTCCATAGGATCTCAGTAGAACCCCCACAGGACCTCCATAGGATCTCAATAGAACCCCCACAGGACCTCCATAGGATCTCAATAGAACCCTCACAGGACCTCCATAGGATCTCAGTAGAACCCCCACAGGACCTCCATAGGATCTCAATAGAACCCTCACAGGACCTCCATAGGATCTCAGTAGAACCCCCACAGGACCTCCATAGGATCTCAATAGAACCCCCACAGGACCTCCATAGGATCTCAATAGAACCCCCACAGGACCTCCATAGGATCTCAATAGGACATCCACAGGACCTCCATAGAATCTCAATAGAACCCCCACAGGACCTCCATAGGATCTCAATAGAACCCCCACAGGACCTCCATAGGATCTCAATAGAACCCCCACAGGACCTCCATAGGATCTCAATAGAACCCTCACAGGACCTCCATAGGATCTCAATAGAACCCCCACAGGACCTCCATAGGATCTCAATAGAACCCCCACAGGACCCCCATAGAATCTCAATAGATTCTCCATAGGACCTTTGCAGGACATCCATAGGTTCTCCGTGGATCTTCATAGGACCTCGACTGGATCTCCATAGGATCTTCACAGGGCCTCCGTAAGTTCTTCACAGGATTTCCAGAGTTGCCACAGGATCTGCCACTGCAGGGACCAGCCGGCATCCTCTACATCCCAAGATGCTGGAAATGACCACGTGGTGATAGTGGTTATGGATTTCCTACAGGAGAATGTGTGAAACCATGTTCCTGGGCAACCCTGCGGAGTCCCAATCTCCATTCAGATCCTCCAGGGGCCAGGCTGGAGGGGGTGTCTGGTGTGTCACTGTGTCTGTTCACACAGAATGGGGGCTTCTGCAGTAATAATGGGAAACCAGCCCAGAGATAGAGGCAGGGATTGGAGTTATGCTGTCATAATCCATGAAGTGCTGAGCTGAGGAAACCAGCTGAGCTTGGACTGTAGCGTTGGACAGGAGACATTGATAAAAAGGACTCTGTGGTAGAATGGTGTGGATTTGTTCATTGTGTGTGAAGAAGAAGATGCTCAGGGAATGAAAGCTCTTCCATTCTCTGACTTGGTTGACAAGAGGAACCAATAGGGCCATCACAGGAGCAATGACCCCATGTGGGAAGCAGACTGAAGGAGATGTATTAAAAACAGTTAACTAAGTCAGAGAGAGAAACAGAGCCTCCCAATACCTGGAAAGCATGGTTTGTTCCTCCCAAACTTCCTCCCTCTGACTTCTTTATTTCTCTACGTAGCAGCACCTCTTCATTTCTCCATCAAAGGCTCTGAGCTGTTTGAGTTCCTCATATATTCTGATGATCAAACCCTTGTTAGAGGAATAGGTAACAAATGTTTCTCCCTGCCTCTGTAGGTCATAACACCGTTGGTTGTTTCCTGAGCTCTGCAGAAGCTTTTTAGTTTGATACACCCATTTGTCTATTTTTAAATTCGTTTCCTATGCTTTTGAGGTCTTACTGATAGAATGTTTGCTTAGACCAATGTCTTGAAGCGTTTCCTCTGTGTTTTCTTCTATAGTTTCATAGTTTCAGGTCTTACTTTGGGTCTTATTCTGTCTTGAGTAGATTTTTGTATATCGTGAGAGACAGAGGTTGAGTTTTGTTTTTTTGCATATGGATATGCAGTTTTGCTAGCAGCATTTATTGAAGAAACTGTCCTTTACCCAATATATGTTCTTGGCATGTTTGTTGATAATCAGTTGGCTGTCAATTTGTGGATTTATTTCTAGGTTCTTTGTTCTGTTCCATTTGTCTATGTGTTTGTTTTTAAGCCAGTGCCTTACTGTTTTGGTTACTATAGCTTTGTAGTGTATTTTGAAGTCAGGTAGTGTGATGTCTCCAGCTTTGTTTTTTTTTCTCTACATTGCGTTGGCTATTTTGGGTATTTTATGGCTCTATATTAATTTTAGAATTTTTTATATTTCAGTGAAGAAAGACACTTGTATGTTGATAGGAATTACAATGAATCTGTAGATAGCTTTGGGTCCTATGGTCCTTTTTGTAAACATTTATTGTTTCAACGTGTGAACATGAGGTATCTTTCCAGTTTTTTCGTGTCCTCTTTAATTTTTCTTAGAGCTTTATAATTTTATTTGTAGAGGTTTTTACCTTGTCAGTTAAATTTATTAGCAGGTCTTTTATTGTTTGTGGCTATTATAAATGGGATTTCATTCCTGAATTCTTTTTCAGCCAGTTCTGTTCTTCAGGGTCAAGCATCATGTAAGTTCCCATGTAGGAAAGGAATCCGGAATGAACAGCAGCTGCACACAAATGCCTTTCTCTGATTTCCACCTCAGAGGGGTCCAGGAGGTGATCAGGCACATGGAGCATTGTCACATTTGGTACCAATCCCAGTGTGATCCCTAAAACACCACCTGATTGGGTTGAGCCTCATCTCTGAAATAACCAAGCCCTGTGTGATCCCTAAACCACCACCTGATTGGGTGGAACCTCATTTCTGGAATAACCAAGCCCTGTGTGATCCCTAAACCACCGCCTGATTGGATGGAACCTCATCTCTGGAATAACCAAGCCCTGTGTGATCATCCTAAACCACCACCTGATTGGGTTGAACCTCATGTCTGAAATAACCCCAAGGCCATGTTGGTGTCCTTCATCCCAGTTCTGGTGGTTTCAACATAATGAAATCAGAAAGTTATATGGCCACTTAAAAATGTCAAGTGCATGTCATGAAGTACTGGACAAGGTGTTTCCCTTTCTGAGGCCCATTCTTACCTGGGTAAGTGGCTCATTGTCTGCGTGGACTCAGGTGAGGTTGATCAGGCAGGTGGGTGTCATGTTGTGAATGAAACACAAAGTCAACCTGTGAGATCATTGCTCTGACAGGTCAAGAACCACCTGGTTTGCCATTTAGTGGCCAGTGCAGCCTGTGGCATTCACCACCACACTTCAATCTCAGCTCCCTAAATGGCATGACAAATAAAGATAGATAGGTACAAAAACAGAGATATGCTATTCCCTGGTTAAAATGGCTGTTATCTCTAAGACAAAAATTAACAGATGCTGTCAAGGATATGGAGAAAAGAAACCCTTCTACCTTGGTGGGAACGCAAGTTGGTGCAGCCAATATGGAAAACAGCATGGAGGTTCCTCAAGAAACTGAAAGTAGAACAACCACACCATCCAGTAATCGCACAGATGGGTATATTTCCAAAAGAAAGAAAATCAGTATATCAAAGAGGTGTCTGCATTGCCATGTTTATTGCAGCAGTATTCACAATAGCCAAGATATGGAATCAACCTATGTCCATCAATGGATGAATGGATAAGGAACATGTGGTCTATATACACAATGAAATAATATTCAGGCATAAAAAGAAGGAAATTGTACCATGTTCAGCAACACAGATGAATCTGGAAGACATTATGTTCAGTGAAATAAGCCAGGCCCAGAAAGAGGAGCATGTTCTCACTCACGCGGAAGCTACAAAAGTGGGCCTTGTGATGGCAGAGAGTAGAATGGTTGTCAACAGAGGCTGGCAAGGGAGTGTGGAGGACAGGGATGGAGAGAGGTTGGTGGACGGGTGCAGAAATACAGGTGGAGAGAAGGAGTAAGTTCCAGGGCCTGAGAGCTCAGTAGGGTGACCATAGTTAGCAACAGATTATTGTATTTTCCACATGAGTGAGAAATGAAGATTTGGAATGTTCCCAGCACAGAAATTATAAAAGTTGGCCAGGCATAGTGGCTCACACCTGTAATCCCAGCACTATGGAAAGCCGACGCTGGTGGATCACCTTAGGTCAGGAGTTCGAGACCAGCCAGAGCAACATGGTGAAACCCCGTCTGTAATAAAAATACAAAAATTAGCGAGGTGTGATGGTGCATGCCTGTAATCCTAGCTACTCAGGAGGCTGAGACAGGAAAACTGCTTGAACCCGGGAGGCAGAGTTTGCAGTGAGCCAAGATCCTGCCACTGCACGCCAGCTGGGCGACAGTGCAAGACTCTGTCTCAAAATAATAACCATAATAACAAATGTTCAGGGTGATGAATGTCCTGGGAACCTTTATTGGATCGTTACACATTGCATGGATGAATCAGATTACCACATGCTCCCAAGAAACATGTATGATTATTCCGTATCAAATTAAAATTATGTGATTTACCAATAACTCGAAGTGGATTGAGGGTCACCAAATGAAAGTCAGCGTTCCAGTGCCCGCGTCCAGTGGTCCTTGGAGTTTCCATGTTGAACAGAACCCTCCAGTATTTCCTGATGTGCAAGCACTATTTTGGATTACATAATCTATTTCCTTTATTTATGGGGTCTATTTTGAGTTTGCCTCCCTAGAAAATAAATGCTGCCTCTTTTTGAGCTTCATGTGCACACCTTCTTTTTATACTCTTGTTTCTTTACTCAACATCATGATGGAAGGTTGGTTTGCATTGCTCTTTGTAGATTTTGTCTGTGCCTCTGCACGGCCTCGTAGTATCCCTTGGTGGAATTGAACCACATATGTTTCCTTTGTTTTAGATGTATTTTTGGGTTTTATGGCTGTTGTGTAATATGAGCAGCAGTCCTGTCCATGTTGTTGTGAATGAAACCTCACCATATGAACACATTTTCCTCTAGGTTCTGTGCTTTGTGTTCATAGCTGTGTGTCTCTTCTTTTTTTTTTTCTTTTTTTTTTAGATGAAGTCTCGTACTGTCACCTGGGCCGGAGTGCAATGGCGCCACCTTGGCTCACTGCACCAACTGGCGCCAACTTGCTTCCGTCTCCCAGGTTCAAGCAATTCTCCTGCCTCAGCCTCCTGAGTAGCTGAAATTACAGGCACCTGCCACCACGCCCAGCTAATGTTTTGTATTTTTAGTAGAGACGGGGTTTCACTATGTTGGCCAAGCTGGACTCGAATTCCTGAACTCGTGTCCGCCCGCCTCAGCCTCCCAAAGTGCTGGGATTACAGGCATGAGCCACCGCGCCCGGCCATGTTTCTTCTTTTTCACTGGGTACTTCTGATATTTTCCCCAAATTGATTCAAGTAATTTGCAGTCCTACCATGGATGTATTGGATTTCTACGTGAGCCCTACTACCTCTGACATTTGATATTGTCATTTTCATCATGTGAAATGAATACCTCAACATTGATCCCTCTCTTCAGGAATGATCGACAGATAGTCCAGAAAGCATAGGCTGTAGATTTTGTTCCAGAACCTCCTGGGATCATCAGATTGAACACATGAGGGTGGGAGACTGCCATACAAGCTGGGAAGGAGGAATCAGATGATATTGTCATGAATTCCTCAAGAGTTAGTGTTTGCTGGCCTCCAAGAGGCAAGGATCTCTGGGAACTTAAGACAGAGAAGCACTTCACACTCACCCATGAGCTCTTTTCCGTGGGTCTCAACTGGGCATTCACAACATAGATTGGAAGTAAGGTGGAGACCCAAAATTTGTGATCAGACATGATTACCTTCCACAGTGTGTGGCCTGAAATCTCACCCCCCTCTGGAGGTCCTAGATTGTCCTCCAGAGCCTTCTGGGATCATCAGATCTGTCCCTGAGGCTCCACCACGCTGAAGGGTGCATTGTCCTCTCCGCTGTTCACCTCCCGGCTGCATCTTGGGGGTTTCTCTGGCTGTGCTGAGCCTCAAATAACAGAATCCCGAGGAACACCAGGACCAAGCCTGCCATGCCCATGCGGATGAGATTCTCCACTGTGTAATCCTTGGCGTGTGAGGCTGGGGATGGTGGGCAAAGAGGTCACAGAGGTCCGGGCAGATCAACTTCACCCAGGACCCCTGGATGCCCAACCCAGGGCACCCCCCATCCGCCATTGACAGAACCTGACCCTCTGTGCCCGCCCCATAACTGTCTGACTTGTTTTGTGATGGGGTGAGGGTCTCAGCTCCTCCTGAGAATCAAAACAGAAGGGGAGAGCCCTGAGCCAGCCTCTCCCCTGGGCTCTGCGTTCTTATTCTTCCAGGCCTCACGACGTGGCTTTTACGGAGTTCCTCAATAAACCCTCCCTCTCCTGCAGCAGGGCTCCCTCCAGTCTCCTCATGAAACTATTTCAGTTTTCCTGTGTTCTATGAATTTCAACGCTGCTCCTGAGCCATTTCCTCCCTCCCATGGGCTGGATTCTCCACCTTCACTCCCTTCTTTCCTAGTGTCCCAGAGCTCTCCTGGGTGCAGAGCCTGAGCTGAGCATTTGAGCTCAGAGAGGACAGGGTCAGGGCCCTCACCTGAGACCACGAGCTCCAGGGAGTCACTGGCCTGACCCTGGGGGGTTGAGGGGCTGGTCCTCAGGACCTCCTGGATCAGGACAGGGAGGTGAAGCCTGGGGCTACCTTGCTCCCCACATCAGCCCGGCTCCTCCTCCTGGCTGGGCCCCAACATCTCTCTCTGCCTTGAACCCCCCACTCTTCACCAGCCCAGCCTCAGAGCCCCTGGGACACAAGCCCGTCCTTGAGGGGAGGGGAGTGGGATCCTTTGGGAGACTCAGACTGCCCTGGGGGAGGCCGCGCTCCCCACGAGGCCTCAGTGACTCACCAGGTGTGGAGGGCGGCCCTGTGGGTGGGAGGCTGGAGCCTCCAGAGTGTCCTGGAAGGAGCACGGGAGGCGGGTGAGGGGCGGGGGCCGTCCATGGAGTGCACCCTTCCACTCCCACTCTCCTGCTTCCGCCCAGTGGATTCCCTGGAACCATCTCTCTGCCCACCTGGTGCCTTCTGCATGCCAGGCAGGGGAGAACGGGTGGCCACGCCTAGGAGAACCCCTGTTGGCCTCCTCCCCTCTGAGGGCTGGGTGCCCTCTGGCTAAGCCTCCCTCACAGCCTCCCTCGGTCCATCCCAGCCGAGAGCTCTCCTGGGGGCCTGGGCCTGAGCTGAGCCTTTGAGCTCAGAGAGGACGGGGTCAGCGCCCTCACCTGAGACCATGAGTTCCAGGGGCTCACTGGGGTGAGACAGCAGGTGGGGGTTGGAGCTGCGTGAGCCGTAGCACCTGTAGGTCCCCGCGTGGGCTGAGGTCACAGGACTCATGGGGAATTCAGCCTGGTACTTATGAGCTCCGTACATTGATCTCAGACGCAGTGGGGGATGGGCTGCCCCTTCTTTGGTCAGAAGGAAAGTGTCAAAATAACCCCGTGACTGACACAGCAGGGTCACGTTCTCTCCTGAGGCCACTGTGGGGCCCGGCTGTGCTGACAGGGAGACGGTGTCATAGATCTGTCCTGGAGAGAAGAAGGATGGGTGAGGGGCTGCCCCACCTTGCTCTGAGCTGACACCTCCCCAGGCCTCTCCCTGGGACCCTCAGTGTCTCTGTCCCTGTTTTCTCTGAGTCTCGCCTCCCCGCCCATCCCCTGTCTCTGTCTGTCTCTCCCTCCCTTGGGACCCCCACCCCTCATCCCGGCCATCACCACCTGGGCTCCCCCGGCAGGGCCTGTGCAGAGCCTGGGTCCCTGACTGAACCCGCTGGGCTCCTCACCTGCCATCAGGATGTTCAGGGGGTCGCTGGGGGCCGACCACTCGGAGGAGAGGTTGTGTGCACCATAGCACCTGTACTGGCCCCCGTGGGAGGGGCTCACA
Organism: Homo sapiens; assembly: GCF_000001405.40. Classification (NCBI taxonomy): domain Eukaryota; kingdom Metazoa; phylum Chordata; class Mammalia; order Primates; family Hominidae; genus Homo; species Homo sapiens. The sequence continues at coordinate 215,921 of NW_003571060.1, forward strand.
GGGCCCAGGGTGAAGTTGGCCTGGGAGAGCCCAGCCTGGGGCTGCTGGCCAGGGCGCTGGAGGAAGTCACGTTCCCCCTCCTTATACAGAACAAATCTGTCGTAGCCGACATCAGAGCCACACTGGAGGGTCAGGCTCTGCCCAGGGGCCAGGACAGGGCCCTGCAGGGTCAGGAGGGAGGGCTTCCTAGACACGCCTGGAGGGAAAGAGGAGCCAGGACTGAGAGGGCTGGTTCCTCCCACGCCCCTTCCTTCTCCCGTCCTGGCCCTGCAGGTCTCACTGTCTCTCACGCTCTGAGTCTCTGACCCCAGGGCCTCCTTCTCACCCGGGGCTGTCTTGGAGTCATTTCAGAGGAGTGGGGTCTCCCTAGCCCTGGCCACTGTGCCTGATCTTTCCTCCTCTCCCTGAGAGCTGGGACCTCACAGCAAACACACCGATGCCTTCCTGAGTCCTCCCCTTCCAGGTGAACGTGGTCAAGGGCTCCTCCTCCCATGTCAGAGCCTCCCCATGGGGTCTCCCTCATGCCTTCAGCCCGTCCTTCAACACATCACTCTGGGTCCTTTCCAGATTCAGTCACCAGCCAAACTCCCCACAACCTGTCAGCTGCCCCGAAAGTGTGTTAGACAAGGCCGTGGCTCCCTCACCTGAGGGCAGAATCTCCAGGGGGTCACTGGGGTGGGACCACACCTGGGGGGTGTTTGTATAATAGTAATAGCATGTGAACCTCCACCTGTGGCTGGGGGTCACGGGGCCCACAGGGAACAGGGCCTGGAACCCCCCACTGTGGAGCTGCTGTGAGTCCAGGGTCCGGGGGAGCTGGTGTTCTCCTTCCTTCATCAGAACAAAATGGTGATATCCCTTCTGTGAGCCACATCGGAGGGTCATATTCCCCCCTGAGGCCACCACAGGGCTGGGCAGGGCTGAGAGGGTGGGTTTGTTGTAGAATCCTAGGAGAGAAGGAGGCACCGTGTTAAATGGGGCTCCCACCTCCCACATCATCCCCAGGGCTGGGCTGTGAGAGGGAGACGCCCCTGAGAGCCGACCCCCTTCCTGAGGGCAGAGCCTGGGGCTGGGACCCCAGAGTGTCCTCTCACCTGTCATCACCAGCTCCAGGGGGTCGCTGGGCTCTGACCAGCCTGCAGAGCTGTAATAGTGGCAGCGGTATCTCCCTGCATGGTGCTGTGTCATGGATGGGATGGAGAATCTGGCCTTGTTCTTGGGTTCCAGTGGGTTATTTCTGTCCAAGGGCTCTGGGCTTCCCTCTTTATCCAGTTGGTACTCCTGGGCCTCCAGGCTCCCCTGACACCAGATGGTCACGGGGCTCCCCCAGCTGATCACAGAGCCTGGCTCAGCCCAGAGGGTGGGTTTGGGGAAGGGCCCTAGATGGAAATCAGAGGCTGGATCCCAAGACATCCCCACGCTCAGATCCCAGCTCCCAGCCCCAGGACTTCCCCATCATCCCCATCAGTCACCCAGAACTACTGTCTCCTCCCCCAGCTGCCCATGGGTGGCCCCCTGTCCCAGTGAGGAGTAGGGACCTGGGACAGCTGGGGACAGACTCACCTGCCTGCACGCGGGTCCTGGGGCCCAGACTCAGCCCTGGAAGAGAGTTCCCTGTGAGGCATTTGCCCTGAAGCCTGAGCAGGTCCCCGCCCGGGTGCCTCCTGAGCTTTTGAGGTCTCCTGATGGACCAGGGCTTGTGTGTGGGGTGGGGTTCCTCCAAGACTCGGATCTCCCCCTCCCCATCTTGAAATCTCACCAAGGCAGAGCAGGGCTGTGAGGGCGGGCGTCATGGCGTCTCCTCCCGGTGACCCCGCGCTCTGCAGAGGGATGAGCCCTCAGTGCTGGCAGGACAGAGAGACACACAGGGTGTGGCCGCTCGGAGGCTGGGTCCTTCTTGTCATGGGGTTGTCTCATCCTCAGCCCACAGGAAGAGGAACTGCCACCCCAGGAACCTGGCTCTGATTTCCCCAGGGCTGAAGTGGGGGCAGGCACCAGGCTCTCTGCAGGCATTTCAGAGAGAAATGGGGTCTCACTGCCCCCGGGCCACTGTCTGCCTGATTTATCTTTATCTCACTGAGGACGGGGACACAGCCGCAAATAGACCTGGTGCCTTCCTGAGTCAGCCCCTTTGAGGCGAGGGTGACCGTGGGCTCCTCCTCCCTCTCAGAGCCTCCCCATGGGGTCTCCCTCCCTCCTTCAGCCCGTCCATCAGCTCAGCGTTACGGGGTCCTTACCATGGCAGTCGTCTCTCCAGCCCTGGAGATGCTTCAGGGAAGACCCAGGTCCATGCTGCAGGCAGACTCAGATCAGCAGAGACGCACCTGACACCTGGCTGTGTAGTCCAGGCTGAGCTGCGTGTAGCAGTGAGCACAGAGAAATGCAGGGTCTACCGTGGTGGCTCATGCCTGGAATCCCAGTACTTCAGGAGGCTGTGGCGGGTGATGGCTTGAGGCCAGGAGCTTCAGACAGTCCTGGGAAACAGACTGTGACCCTGTTTCTACAGAAAAGAAAAAAGTGAGCTGGGCATGGAGGCTCATGCCTGTGGTCCCAGCTACTCAGGAGGCTGAGGTGGGAGGATCACTTGGGCCCGGGAGGCGGAGGCTTCAGGGAGCTATGATCACCCCTTGGCCTTCCAGCCTGGGCGACAGAGCAAGATCCTGTCTAAAAAGGAGAAATAGAGGGGGTAAAGAGAAATATATATATATATGTTTCATTGTAATCTATAATCTGATTCTGGGGAAGGTGAGCTGATTTGTATTTAATTCCTGATTATCATCTAGGGTTTATGTGACTTTGGACATGAATGTCACCTCTGAGCCTGCTGTCATGAACCCCACTCATCACAGTGGCTGTGGGGGTCAGTGGTGCCCAGGACATGGGAGGCTCAGCCATGGTGAATTTCCAGACCAGTTCAGACAGGAGGGTGGGGACGGGAGAGGATCCTGGTGCTGGGCTTCACAGTCGAGGAGGATGATTGACGCCCCCACTCAAGAGCCCACATCGGCTCCAAATACCATGAAATTCTCCTTGTGATACGTCTGAAATATGCAGATCATCACAGCCACAGGCCGAGAAAGAGGAAAAACAGTTCCTCACATTGAGACGCATCCCCTTCCATGAGCAGAGTTCAATGCTGAGTGGCCACAGGTGTCTGGGACCACCGAGCGTCATTAGGGAGGAGGAGGCTCCCACCTCCATGTGGGACAGAAGAGGAACCCCACGTCCTCCCAGGCAGGGAGGGGTCAGGGCTCTGGGTGAGGCTGGAAGCTGTGGCTCCCCCTCCCCTGTGTGTGTGGACAGGCGCTGGGGGGTCTCTGCTCACTCACTGGAGGCCACGGTCAGCGCTCAGCCCCTCCCCTGTGTGTGAGAAACAGATTCGATCCACGGTGGTCAGACATGGGCGTCTGCCCCACAGGTGAGTGTGAGGCTGGCGTTGGTCCCATCCCTGCTGGGCACAATCTTGAGCTGACACTGAGTTTGGGGGAGTGGGGCAGGAGCAGCGGCAACAATCCCCTTCATCAGGCTGATGCCTGGACAGCCGTGGGAGAAACCCTTTTTGAAAGGCCAGGTGCGTGGGAGGAGCTGTCCCACAGGAATGACAACCAAGATACGTGAGGAAAACACAGACAGTTGTTGAAATGCATTAGACAGACGTCGTGAAGGTGAAAAATAGTAAATTGAATTAATACCATCGAAAAGTAATTTAATAAATATATACACCTACTATGTAGCCATAAAGTGAAAAATTTGACCGGGCGTGGTAGCTCATGCCTGTAATCCCAGCACTTTGGGAGGCCGAGGTGGGCGGATGACCTGAGGTCAGGAGTTTGAGACCAGCGTGGCCAATATGGTGAAACCCTATCTCTCCTAAAAATACAAAAACAATTAGCTGGGTATGGTGGTGCACGCCTGTAATCCCAGCTACTCGGGAGGCTGAGGCAGGAGAATCGCTGGAACCCAGGAGGCGGACATTGCAGTGAGCTGAGATGGCACCACTGCACTCCAGCCTGGGCCACACAGCAAGACTCTGTCTCAAAAAAAAAAAAAAAAAAAAAAAGAAAAAGAAAAAGAAAAAAAGAAAGTAAACAACTTCTAAAGCGATTCAAGCACCAGAAGGGTTCAAATGAAAATGAGACCAAAGGAAGTAAATAAAAAAGAGGAGGGAATTTGTGAGAACACATTTTAAAGGGTCCATTTTCAAGGCATGATATCCAAGTATTGGCAGCCAGTCTGCGGATGTAACAAACCGCATGGCTCATGCTCCTAGCAAATCACAATAAGTGAACAGAATGGCGGGGGGTTGTGGGGGAGGAGGCGGTCAGCCCATAAAAGGGAAAAAAATTTTGTCATTGGGAAATCGCAACTTAAGCGGGGAAGGGGACGGGGTACAACCTTATAAGGGGGATAATGAAACTCAGGCGAAGTCTGGGAAGATTGTAACCTCATAGTACTCGACCAGTGAGGAACTGGGGAAGGGATAGTTGAGTGCCAAGAGATAAATTACCTGCTGTGACTGCCCCGGCTATGCCTACCTAGCAGACATCCAATTTTGCAAGACCCTGTTAAAAGTCTCACTTTCAGGCGGGACATGGTGGCTCACGCCTGTAATCCCAGCACTTTGGGAGGTCAAGGCGGGCGGATCACGAGGTCAGGAGATCGAGACCATCCTGGCTAACACGGTGAAAACCGTCTCTACTAAAAATACAAAAAATTAGCCGGGCGTGGTGGCGGGCACCTGTAGTCCCAGCTGCTCGGGAGGCTGAGGCAGGAGAATGGCATGAACCCGGGAGGCGGAGCTTGCAGTGAGCCGAGATCGCGCCACTGCACTCCAGCCTGGGTGACAGAGCGAGACTCCATCTCAAAAAAAAAAAAAAAAAAAAATTCGCAGCAGGGTCTGCTGGGGCAAAGCAAGGGGTTCGTCTCCTGGTAAGTTTCCCTGGGACCTCTCAGTACCACCTCCCCCTGTCCTGCTCCCAGTGGGACTGCTGAGATCTAGGGAGCGGGTGTGATGTCCCTGAGGTTCCACAGTATGAAGTGAACCATGTTCCCCTGAGCCCCAGACCCTTCCCAGCCCCTTCCTGTTACTAGTGAAACTGCAGGGTCCCCATCTGCACCCCAGGTGCACCCCCTCTTCCTCTTACTCACTGAGGTTTTCTTCTTGGATGTCAGCAGCTGGGCTGGACCTGGGGGAGGACACGAGAGTGTGGTGTGGTGGAGTGTGGGAGTCTGGGGTCTTTGGGCAGAATTACCTCCTCAGCAGACCCCTGTTCTTGGGCTCTGGTCCCACGGCCCCTGCAGGGTGTTGGAAATCAGCCTCTCTCTGGGCTAGGTGAAGAAGGACAAAGTCTCAGCCCTGGGAACCTTAGAACCACCCACCCAGTACATGCGACTTTAGGGGAAAAAATGAAACTTGAAAACACACCCATATATATATATATATATATATATATTTTTTTTTTTTTTTGAGACAAGGTCTCGCTCTGTCGCCCAGGCTGGAGCACAGTGGTGCGATCCCAGCTCACTGCAGCCTTGACCTCATAGGGTCAAGTGATCCTCCTGCCTCAGCGTCTTGAGTAGCTGGGACCACGGGTGCACACCACCAAACCTGGCTTATTTGCATTTTTAATTTTTTTTGTAGAGATGGGGTCTCACCACATTGCCCAGAGTCCTCTGAAACTCCTGGGCTCAAGCCATCCACCTGCCTCAGCCTTCCAAAGTACTGCGATTACAGGCATAGTTGTTTTAAATACTGGATACACTTAAAAAGGCCCGAAGACGTTGGGCCGAATGGCTCATGCCTATAATCCCAGCACTTTGGAAGGCTGAGGCGGGTGGATTGCTTGAACTCAGGAGTTTGAGACCAGCCTCGGCAACATAGTGAGACCCCCCATCTCTCCCCCGCAAAAAAATAATTAGCCTGGCGTGGTGATAGGGGCCTGTAGTCCCAGCTACTCAGGAGGCTGAGGTAGGAGGATCATTGAGGATCTTGGGAGGTGGAGGTTGCAGCGAGCCGAGATCACACCACTGCACTCCAGCCTGGGTGACAGAGCCAGATCACGTCTCAAATAAAATAAAATAAAAAGCTCAAAGAATAAATTACTTGCACATACACTCATATTTATTCTCTTCTTTCTAGATTTTTCAGCTGGGACTTTCTGGAGCTGTTTTTCTAAGCTGACTTTCTTGTGTGTTTGGTTCCCCTTTGGTTGGTGCCCTGATCCCACCCTCGGTGGGCCCACAGGTTCCCCCAGTCCCTGCTCACCCAATGTCCTGTGTTTGCTCTGACGCCGACATTGGAGGAGGAGGACGAGCGGCAGGACAAAGGCCACTGAGACCCCGGTTACAACCCCCAGGTATCTTCCCAGACCTTGCGCGTGATGACGTCGGGAATGAGGATGACATCGCTGATGTGAGCACCTACTGTGTGCAGGCGCGTGCTGGGTCTTCATGAGCTCTAACCCTCACAGCAGTCGTGCAACGTGGGATTGCCAACCCCCCAACCCATTTCACAGATGCACAAACTGAGGCTCAGAGGGGGGAATCGCCTGCCCCAGGCCCCCCAGCCTGGAAGAAGCAGGTCTGGGAGGGGAACCTGGGACCTTGTGTTTTCCCCAGCTGTCCTCCTGCTGCCCCACCAGGTGGACACCTGCTTCCTGCTCTGGGTCTTCTCATCTGACAGCAGGGGCCTGTCTTAGTGTCTCCATCTGGGGCTGTGTCCTCCTTACAACCCTCCCTTCCCCAGCACAGCAGGGCCTGGGGGAGGGAGTGGGCTGTACAGGACGGACCCTGCATTGCTCTCACCCCCAGCCCAGCCAGGTCCATCTCCTACTCTGCCAATCCCTGACCTTCCCATGCAGAGCCTTTGACCACAGACTGAAGGGCTGCACTGTCGGCTTCTCGGCTTCTGAGGTTTTGGTACTCGGACTAGCTTCCTTGCTCCTCAGCTTACAGACAGTCTATTGTGGGACCTCACCTTGTGATCGTGTGGATCAATACTCCTTAATAAACTCCCCTTTATATATACATCTATCCTGTTAGTTCTGCCCCTCTAGAGAACCCTGACTAATACATGTTTCTGAAATACGCAGCCATAGAAGGAAATGAGAAATGAAACTTCCTGACACAGGCAGGAAACCTCAGGAAGCAGCGAGGTCAGAGCTGAGTTGGCTTCTGGTGACTTGCAATGTCAGGGAATCACTAAAAGGGAGGTTTCCGCCTCTATATGAGACAGAGGAGAACCCCAGGGCCCTCACAGTCAGGGAGGGGTTGGGGTTTTGGGTGAAAGTGGGAAGTTGTGGCTCCTCGTCCCCTGTGTTTGTGGATGGCACTGGGGTATCTCTGCTCATTGACTCAGGTTTATGGTCAGCCCTGAGCCTCCCCCTCTGTGTGTGTGAAATAGATTCATTGTAGAGTTGTCAGACATGAGGTTCACACTGGACCCTCCCCTGCTGGTTACAGGCCTGAGCAGACTCACAAGACCCGGGCAGGTGGTGCCGTCCTCCTCTTTTCAAGCCTAACGCCCAGTGCAGCCCTGGTAGAAACCCTCTCTGGCAGATGAGGCACTGGGAGATGAGTGTCCAAGAATGAGAAGAAAGAGGAATCATCCTAATGATAAAAAGTGCTATGACTGGCTGCCTGCGATGGCTCACGCCTATTTTCCCAGCGCTCTGGGAGGCCGAGGTGGGCAGATCGCTGGAGCCCAGGAGTTCGAGACCAGCCTGGGCAACATGGTGAAACCCCATCTCTACTAAAAAGACAAAAATGAACTGGGTGTGGTGGTGCACACCTGTAGTTCCAGCTACTTAGGAGCCTGAGGTCGAAGATCGCTTGAGTCTGGCAGGCGGAGGTTGCAGTGAACTGGGGTGGTGCGCCACTGCACTTTAGCCTGGGTGACAGAGCAAGAACCTGTCTCAAAAACAAACACAGGCTGGGCGTGGTGGCTCACGCCTGTAATCCCAGCACTTTGGGAGGCCGAGGCAGGCAGATCATGAGGTCAAGAGATCGAGACCATCCTGGCCACACGGTGAAACCCCATCTCTACTAAAAATACAAAAAAAAAAAAAAAAAAAGATTAGCTGGTTGTGGTGGCGGGCACCTGTAGTCCCAGCTACTCGGGAGGCTAAGGTAGGAGAGTTGCTTGAACTCAGGAGACAGAGGTTGCAGTGAGCTGAGATCACGCCACTGCACTCTAGCCTGGGTGACAGAGTGAGACTCCGTCTCAAAAAATAAATAAATAAATAAATAAAAACAAAAAACAAACCAAAAAATCAAACACAAAGTGCTATGGTTGACAATCCACACTCACTAATGAGGATTATCATGGTCAAAAGGAGTACTAGGAATGTGTGAGACCCATCTTAGGTTAAACATGTTTAAATATTTGAGAAATACAGAGGACATTGAATTTCTGAGGCAGGATTATATGATTTTTTTTTCTACAGCAGAATGAATATTATATAAAATAATTAGAAGACATAGAAAAATCAGATTTAATGAACACAATCAAAATACTCATTCCTTCGAGGACAAGACACAGTGAAGCACCAATTATGAAATTAGAAAACAAAACAGAATTTTTTTTAGAGTGTAGCATAGAAACTTTATAAATTGCAATTTAAAGTACTTGGGAGAATAGAATGAGGAGGGGGAATGTCCTATCTATTGTAGGCGTCAGAAAGAAGGAAGAGAAAACGATGTCTAGCAATAGCCCAAGAGGTGAGTAGCTGAACATTTTATAGAGATGAGGAGAGACTAACTAAGGACTAGGGCGCATCCCTTTAAAATTGAAATGTATGGGCTGGACGTGGTGGCTCACGCCTGTAAGCCCAGCACTTTGGGAGGCTGAGGCGGGCGGATCACCTGAGGTCGGGAGTTTGAGACCAGCCTGACCAACATGGAGAAACCCTGTCTCTACTAAAAATACAAAAATTAGCCGGGCGTGGTGGCAGGTGCCTGTAGTCCCAGTTACTCGGGAGACTGAGGCAGGAGAATCGCTTGAACCCGGGAGGCAGAGGTTGCAGTGAGCCGAGATCACTCCACTGTACTCCAGCCTGGTGATAGAGCGAGACTCCGTCTCAAAAAACAAAACAAAACAAAACAAAAACCCTCACACAAAAACCAAGACAAATCCCCTTGACACAAGTTTATCTGTCTAACAAACCTGCACATGTATCCCTGAACTTAAAAGTGAAAAAAATAAAGGCAATATGTGTCAGATTTGTGGTGGTGTCTGCTGTTTCACCCCCATATGGAAATGTGTGCCTGAACCCCGCTTTTTTCCTTGCTTATTGTGGCTAGGATTTGTGAATGTAATTCACATTCTCAAGAATGAGCTTTTTTGGCTTCATCGAGTTTTCACGTAGCCCTCATTAGTAACTCCTCTTGTTATTTTTGTCCCCTTCCTCACACCTTCATTTGGAATAATTTGTTGTTCTTTTTCTAAATTCTTTCTGTCATTGCCAAGGTCATTAATTACGTAGGTTTTATTCTTTTCTAATTCATTCGCTCATTTGTAGTTTTCCGATTTCATCATTTAATGTGTAATATTTACATTATCATTCCAAATTTATACCATGCTCTAATTTCTGTTTCAGTTTTCTCAGCTCATTGATTTATTGAGAAGTCTGTGGCTTCATTTCAAAAATGCAAGGATATTAGTCATCTTTGACTGCAGAATCTAGTGAGTCCCAGAGTTCCCAGGATGTCCTGGTGGTCTTTGTTAGGGGTCCAGGCTGGCTGGGGTTCATTGGTGTCCACTGGGGGCAGCTCCTGTGCCTTCTGGAGTCTCTGAGTCTCCTTCTGTTGAGTATGAGATCTGGGTCCCCCGTGGGCTAGTGGATGGCCAGGGGGGCGTAGATGCTGGGTTCAGCTGGAGGTTCCCTTTCCTGGGATGGAGGAGGCTCAGTTGCCTCCCGTCTGAGGGTCAAGCTGTGCAGCTGGGCGTAGGTCACATCCTGGGGGGCTTCAGATGCAGCAGCCTGCAGCGGGGGAGAGTGAGAGGGAAGGAACGTGGTGGGGGTGGGGGAGGCCTGGGGGCCTGGAGAGGAAAGGACTCTCTCAGTGTCCATCTGTCTGTCCTCTTCTGCCTGTCTGTCCTTTGTGTCCAGGAATTCCCCAGACAGTGGGGAAGGAGGAGAGGCCATTTCTCTCCTAGGTCTGGAGTGTTTCACCGGGGCATACGTCACTGCCTGGGGGTCTTCATCGTGTGGGCTCTGCTGGAGAGAGACAGTGGTGGGGGGTGTCCTTGAGTCCCCCTGACCTCCTGGAGTCAATTTTCCTCACTGTTCCCGGGGTGATCCGATTACATCCCTTTCCTGATGGAATCTCAGGGACGCCCTAAGGCCGTGGAGGGTCTGGCCGCTCCCTCCCTGTGGTTCTGGCCTCTGCTCCTCACTCTGACCTTGCCCATTTGGCTGCAGCCTCACGGGCCTTCCCGCAAGAGCTCGCTGCTGCCTCGGGGCCTTTGCACGGCTGTTTCCTCTGCCTGCAGGGGCTCGTCCATCAGAGGATCGTGTGCCCCACTCTGTCCAGGCTTCTCAGATGACAGCTGAGCAGACAGCCCTCCCCTTCCATTCAGACTGGCCCCACTGCCCCACACTCTCTGCCCTTTCCCTGGTTTATGTTCCTTACAGCACGTTGCACTCCTGGACACGATGCATTTATTTGCATTTTGTCTCCCACCATGAGGTGAGCTCAGGAGGCGGGGGCGGCTTTGCTCCCTGCTGTGTCTGCAGCTCCCATGGGGAGCCCCATCCACAGTGAGCTCCCTGGGAACACTCGCTGGTTGAATGAATGAAGGGGAGCCTGGGGGACCGGGTCGGTTCATTTATTCCTCATCCTCCTGAGGCCTGGGGAGAGCTCTAACAACCAGACGGCCAAACAGAGGATGAGGAGCAGGAAGGGGACCCGGGAGGAGGCCCACGAGGTCCCAGGACAGCAGAAGAGAGTGAGGTCGCAGCAGGCGGGAGGCAGCGTGCTGGACAAGGAGGGGTCCACCGTGACGATGCTGAGAGCCGGGGGAAGGAGGACAGAGAAGTCCTGCTGGATTAGATCTGGCACCAGGAGGCCTTTGGTGCCCGGGACAGGGGCGGGGCCTCACCCGAGCATCCATCTCCACCCCGTCCTTGGGCTGTGTGTCCTTCACGGCAGCATCTGCTGGGCCAGAGCAAGGGGTTCATCTCCTGGGAAGGTTCTCTGAGACTTCTCCGTCCTGCCAGCCCTTGCCCTGTTCCCACTAGGGTGGCTGAGATCCAGGGAGGGACTGTGATGTCCCTGAGGTCCCACAGTGTGGGTTCAGACCGCCTCCCCCTTGGCCCCAGACCCCCCCCAGCCTGTGCTCCTGCCCCCATTGCTACAGAAACTTTGGTGCTCCCTTGCCCACCCCAGGTGCCCTCCGCTTCTAGTCACTCACTGAGAATTTCCTCCTGGATGTCAGCAACTGGGCTGGCCCTGGGGGAGGACACGGGAGTGTGAGGGGCAGTGAGGGGGCTGTGCGGGTGGATGGGAGTCTTGGGTCTTCATGCAGAATTACCTCTTCTGCAGGCCCTGGTCCTTGGGCTCTGGCCCCGCAGCCCCTGCAGGACGGTAGAAATGGGCTGGACAGAGATGGACAGAGGGTCAGGCCTGGGAGAATTCGAACCAGCTGCCCTGCACACACAACTCGAGCGGAAAGAAGGAAACCTGGAGGCCCACTGGCACTGAGGCTTTAAATACGTCGTAAGTTTAAAGTAAAATCAGAAGAATCAAGCACTTCCACACATGCTCACATTTATTCTCTTCTTTCTCGATCGATTTTTCACCTGGGAATTTCTGGAGCAGTTTTTCTAAGCTGACTTTCCTTTGTGTTTGGTTTCCCTCTGGCTGGTGCCCCGAGCCCACCCTCGGTCGGCCCACGGGTTCCCCCATTCCCTACTCACCCGATGTCCTGTGTTTGCTCTGATGCCGATGTCGGAGGAGGAGGAAGAGGAGGAGGAACAGCAGCAGGACGAAGGCCACTGAGACCCCAGTCACAACCCCCAGGTGCCTTCCCAGACCTTGAGCGTGATGACGTTGGGAATGGGGATGACGTCATTGATGTGAGCACCTTCTGTGTGCAGGCGCGAGCTAGGTCTTTCCTTCATGAGCTCCAACCCTCACAGCAGTTGTGCAACATGGGATTGCCAACCCCCCAATTCACAGAGGAGCAAACTGAGGCTCAGAGAGGGGAATCGCCTGCCCCAGGCTCCTCAGCCTGGAAGAAGCAGGTCTGGGAAGGGAACCAGGGACTTTGTGTTTTCCCCAGCTGTCCTCCTGCTGCCCCACCAGGTGCACACCTGTTTCCTATTTGACAGGAGGGGCCTGTCCTAGTGTCTCCATCTGGGGCTGGTGTCCTTCTTAGGATCCTCCCTTCCCCAGCACAGCAGGGCCTGGGAGAGGGAGTGGGTTGTGCAGGACGGACCCTGCATTGCTCTCACTCCCAGCTCAGCCAGGTCCGTTTCCCACTCTGCCAAGTTCCCATACTCCCATGCAGAACCTGTCTGGATAGGGGCTCTGTGTGTATCTGGGAAGGGCTGAGGGTAGCAGGAGGACGGTGCCCCTGCCGAGCTGTGTACAGGGCCAGGTCCCATGATTTTGCTTACGCCTCGCAGCAGTTCTGTGAGCTGGATGGGACTGAGCCAGTTTACAGCTGCTGAAACTGAGTCAGAGTAGAAAGTTGACCTGCCTGGGCCCACGGTGGGATGCGGCAGAGCTGGGAAGTGAACCCAGGAGTCTGACCCGCAGCCCTTGTTCTCTGCACCTGAGCGGAGCCCCGGAGCTGCAGGGAAAGAGCCTGAATGCCCCAAACCACGGCCCTGCTCCCCTCCCCTGCCCCAGGTCACCGTCACTGCTGCCGGTGGGACAGGACAGTCCCCTGAAGAATCCCATCAATGCAGGCCTCTCTCCTTTACACTTGGAGAAACTGAGGCCCAGGCAGGGGAAGGGCTTGTGCACTTCACCATCTCCAGAGGAGCCTGAACCTACGACAGAACCCACCCCTGCCTCCCCTGGTCTCCGCCCACCTCCCACTCAGAGCCCCTCACTCACCACTCTGGGGATCCAACCCCGTGGGGGTGAGGGGCTGGTCCTCAGGGCCTGCTGGGTCAGGACGGGGAGGTGAGGGCTGGGGCTGCCCTGCTCCCCACATCAGCCCGGCTGCTCCTCCCCCAGGCTGGGCCCCAACACCCAACATCTCTCTCTGCCTCGACGCCCGCCCCCTCACCGGCCCAGCCTCAGAGCCCCGGGGAGCCTGTGGCCCCTCCTCTGGCTCTGCCCAGCTCCCTGGAGGGAAGCTCCCGCTTGAGTCTTTGAGGGGAATAGGATCCTCGGGGAGACTCAGGGCTGCCTGGGGGGAGACCACGCTCCCTCCGAGCCCAGAGGCCTCAGTGACTCACCAGGTGTGGGGGTGGAGCCTGTAGGTGAGAGGCTGGGATCCCCAGAGGGTCCTGGGAATAAGCACAGAAAGGGAGCGAGGCGCTTTGGTGCTGAGTGAGGAAACCCGTCCCTCCACCTGCCCGTGGCTTCTCTGGAAACTTTCTTCTGCTCACCTTTCACCATTTGCATCCCAGGAGATGGGGCCAAGTGTGGGCATGCCTGGGGAGCCCCCGTTGTCCTCCTCCCCTCTGAGGGGTGAGTCTCCCTCTGGCTGAGCCCCCCTCAAACCCTCCCCCCCGCACCGCGACTCCATCCCAGCCCAGAGCTCTCCTGGGGGCAGGGCCTGAGCTGAGCCTTTGAGCTTGGACAGGACAGGGTCAGGGCCCTCACCTGAGACCACGAGCTCCTGGGGGTAACTAGGGCTGGACAGCAGGTAGGGGTAGGACCTGATTGCGCTGTAGCATCGGTAGGTTCCACCCTGGGCTGAGGTCACAGGACTCATGGAGAATTCAGCCTGGTGTCTATAAGACTGGTACTTTGACTTTAGACACAGCGGGGGATGGGCTGCCCCCTCCTTGGTCAAAAAGAAAGTGTCTATCTGATGCCATGACTGACACAGCAGGGTCACGTTCTCTCCTGAGGCCACCTTGGGGCCCGGCTGCACCGAGAGGGCGGGTATGTCAGGGATCAGTCCTGGAGAGAAGAAGGATGGGTGAGGGGCTGCCCCACCTTGCTCTGAGCTGAGACCTCCCCAGGCCTCTCTAGGAGCCTCTGTCTCTGTTTTCTCTGAGTCTTCCCCTCCCCACCCATCCCCTGTCTCTGTCTGTCTCTCCCTCCCTTGGGACCACCCCCCCGCCTCATCCCGGCCATCACTAATTGGATTCCCCCGGCAGGACCTGTGCAGAGCCTGGGTCCCTGACTGAACCCGCTGGGCTCCTCACCTGCGATCAGGATGTCCAGGGGGTCGCTGGGGGCCGACCACCTAGGGGAGAGGTTGTGTGCACCGTAGCATCTGTACTGGCCCCCGTGGGAGCGGCTCACAGGGCCCAGGGTGAAGTTGGCCTGGGAGAGCCCAGCCTGGGGCTGCTGGCCAGAGCCCTGGACGAGGTCATGTTCCCCCTCCTTGTACAGAACGAATATGTCATAGCCGACATCAGAGCGACACTGCAGGGTCAGGCTGCCTCCGCGGGCCACGACAGAGCCCTGCGGGATCAGGAGGGAGGGCTTCCTAGACACGCCTGGAGGGAAAGAGGAATTGGGACTTGGAAGGCTGGTTCCTCCCCCGCCCCTTCCTTCTCCCGTCCTGGCGTCCTGGCCCTGCAGGTCTCACTGTCTCTCACGCTCTGTGTCTCGGATCCCGGGGCCTCCTTCTCACCTGGGTCTGTCTTGGAGTAGTTCCAGACCGATAGTGTCTCTCTGACTCCTGGCCACTGTCTGTCTGGTCTGTCCTCTCCTCATTGAGGGACAGGAAATTGCAGCAAATACACCCATTGCCTTCCTGAGTCGACCCCTTCCAGGTGAGGGTGACTCAGGCTCCTGTTTCCCCATCTGAGCCTCCCCGTGGGGTCTTCCTCACGCCTTCAGCCCATCCATCAACACATCCTTCTGGGGTCCTTGCCATGATCAGTCATCAACCAAACTCCCAACAACCTATCTGGTTCCCCAAAATTATATAAAGAAGTGTGGTGGCTTTTTCACCTGGGACCAGAATCTCCAGGAGGTCACTGGGGTTCGACCACACCTGAGGGTTTTTCCTGTAATAGTAATAGCATCTGAACCTCCACCTGCAGCTGGGGGTCACGGGACCCACAGGGAACAGGGCCTGGGATGGCCCTTTGGGGAGCTTCTGTGAGTACAGGGTCCTGGGGAGCTTCTGTTCTTCCTCAACAAGAACAAACGTGAGAAGTCCGTCCAGTGTATCACACTGGAGGGTCACATTTCCTCCTGAGGCCACCACAGGACTCGGCAGGGCTAAAAGAGTGGGTTCTGCATAGAATCCTAGCAGAGAAGGAGGCACGTCTTAAGTGGGGCTCCGACCTCCCACATCATCCCCAGGGCTGGGCTGTGAGAGGTAGACGTCCCTAAGAGCCGACCCTCTTCCTGAGGGCAGAGCCTGGGGCTGGGACCCCTGAGTGTCCTCTCACCTGTCGCCACCAGCTCCAGGGGGTCACTGGGCTCTGACCAGCCTGCAGGGGTCTCATAGTAGCAGCGGTATCGCCCTGCACTGTCATACACCGTGGATGGAATGTGGAACTTGGCCTTGGCTCCAGGCTCCAGTGGGTTCTGTCTCTTCCGGGCCCATGGGAGTCCCTCCTTATCCAGACGGTACTCCTCAGTCTCCAGGGGCCCCTGACACCAGAGGGTCACGGGCTTCCCCCGAGCTATCACAGAGGCTGGCTCAGCCCAGAGGGTGGGTTTGGGGAGGGTGCCTAGAATGGAATCAGAGGCTGGATCCCAAGACATCCCCATCCCTCAGATTCCAGCTCTCAGCCCCAGGACCCTCCAGACGTCCCCATCAGTCAGCCCAGAACAGCTATCTCCACCCCCAGCTGCCCGGGGTTGGGCCCTTGTCCCCAGTGAGAAGAAGGGACCTGGGACAGCTGGGGACAGACTCACCTGCCTGCACGCAGGTCCTGGGGCCCACACTCAGCCCTGGAAGAGAGTTCCCTGTGAGGGATTTGCCCCTGGAAGCCCCAGCAGTTCCTCTCCTCCCTCGGAGCCTCTGATAGACCAGATTCTCTGATAGACCAGAGCCTCGCTTTAGAGTGAGCTCCCTCCAAGACGGGGACCTTCCTTCCCCCTCTTCAAACCTCACCGAGGCAAATCAGGACTGAGAGGGTGAGGGTCATGGCGTCAGCTCCCACTGGACTCAGCTGTGCAGGCGGATGAGACCACGGTGCCTGGCAGGACACAAAAACACGCAGAGTGTGGACTGGAGGCTGGGTTCTCCCTGTCACAAGACTGTCCCATCGGAAGCCCCACAGGAAGGGGAACTGCCCTCCCCAAGAGCCTGGCTCTCATTTCCCCAGGGATGGGGCTGGGGTGAGCTCCAGGCTCTCTGCAGACATTTCAGACAGAAATGGGGTCTCCCTGAGCCCTAGCCGCTGTCGGCCTGACCTATACTCAGCTCACCAAGGGCTAGGGCAGAGCAACAAAACCCCTCCGCTGGGAATGAACCTCTAAGTCGTTCCTGCCTCCTCAGTGCCCCTTTGTCCTTGGCCGTCCCTCTGTGCCTCCAACCATGTTCAAGGTTTTCAGAACAATTACTCAGGTTTGTCATCTGATTCATGGGGTGGAGTGGGGAGCTGAATTTTCTTCCTAATTCCACCGATTATGTGACCTTGGACAGCAAAGTGGCTTGCTTGAGCCTTTCTCTTTTGGAACTTGTGGTCATGACCTCAGCTTCTCAGAGTGGATGTGGGGCTCAGTGGTGCCTGGGACATGGGAGGGGGCTTGGCCATGGTGAATTTCCAGACCAGATTAAGACAGGAGTGGTTGGGGTGTGAGAGGATCCTGGCATTGAGCTCCGTAGTAGAGGAGGATGATTGATGCCCCAACTCAAGAGCCCACATCTGCTCCAAATACCAAGAAATGCTCCTTATGTTTGAAGTTCCCGGCACGGTGGCCCACCCCTGTAATCTGAGCACCTAGGGAGGCTGAGGATGGAGGATCCCTTGAGCTCAGAAGTTCAAGACCAGCTTGGGGAACATAGTGAGACCCCGTCTCTGCATATAACAAAGAAGAAATAATCAGGTATGTTTGTGCACGACTGCAGTCCCAACTATTTGGGACACTGAGGTGGGAAGATTGCTTGAGCCTGGGTGGTCCAGGCTGTAGTGAGGTATGATCATAGCACTGCACTCCAGCCTGGGTGAGAGAGCACGACCCTGTCTCAAAACATACATATATATATATATATATATATATATATATATATATATACACACACACACACATACACACATCTGAAATATGTAGATTATACATCCGAAATATGTAGATTATGAAAGTTTTGTGCAGAAAAAGAAATGAAAAGTTCTTTAATTTGAGAAGGTTGCACATCAAAGAACAAACTTGAAAGCTGACAGCCTGCTTGTGTCTAAGACTGTCCCAGGGTCATTAGGGAGGAAATTTCCACTTCTGTGTGGGACAGAAGAGGAACCCCAGGTCCTCATGGAAAGGGAGGGGGTAGGGGCTCCAGATGAAGATGAAAAGCTGTGGCCCGGCCCGGCGCGGTGGCTCACGCCTATAATCCCAGCACTTTGGGAGGCTGAGATGGGCAGATCACGAGGTCAGGAGATCGAGACCATCCTGGCTAACACGGTGAAAACCCGTCTCTACTTAAAAAAAAAAAAATAGAAAAAATTAAGCGGGCGTGGTGGCGGGCGCCTGTAGTCCCGGCTACTTGGGAGGCTGAGGCAGGAAAATGGTGTGAACCTGGGAGGCAGAGCTTGCAGTGAGCTGAGATCGCGCCACTGCACTCTAGCCTGGGGGACAGAGTGAGACTCCGTCTCAAAAAAAGAAAAAAAAAAAAGGAAAAGAAAAGCTGTGGTTCACCCTTGCTCGTGCTTGTGGACAGGAGCTGGGATATCTCTGCCCACTGACTGAAGTCCATGATCAGCATGGGGCCACCTCTCCCGTTTTTGTGTTTAACAGATTCCGCCGCCGTGCGTGGTGCCTCACGCCTGTAATCCCAGCACTTTGGGAGGCTGAGGCGGGCGGATCACCTGAGGTCGGGAGTTTGAGACCAGCCTGACCAACATGGAGAAACCCCGTTTCTACTAAAAATACAAAAAAATTAGCTGGGCGTGGTGGTGCATGCCTGTAATCCCAGCTACTTAGGAGGCTGAGGCAGGAGAATTGCTTGAACCCGGGAGGCGGAGGTTGCGGTGAGACGAGATCAAGCCATTGCACTCCAGCCTGGGTGACAAGAGTGAAACTCCATCTCAAAATAATAATAATAATAATAATAAATAAATAAATAAATAAAATCCTTGAAGTCCACCCGGCGTTCTATTGCACTGCAGCTGACCTGGCACTCAAGCCACAAGATACTGTCCTTCCTACTCATCCCTCCCCTTTCTTAAGGCAAAGGAGCCTCATGCCATGACCACTGCCACAACAGGCTTACAGGGAGAACTGCCAGTGTTCTCTTAAGCCCTAAGGGATCTTCAGTCAGCTTGTGGTGAAGGCTTCCTGGCCTGCTATTCATCCGTCATGACACTGGGCTCTGCCCAGGCCCAGGGCAGGTCCAGAAATGATCTCTAAGAGCAAAGTCCTTGAATTGAGGACCTGAGAGCCTACTTGGCACTCTATCCCCTGTTGTTGAGCTGGTACCTAAGGTGCAATACAAAGTCCCTTTTACTTTTTCTTCCACTTTTCTCACCCCACAGTCAACATGGCTGGGAAGGTGCTGAGTCTCACTTGAAGCCAGCAAGTCTCAGAGTCTCACCTAAGGCCCACGACATAGTACCTGTATATTGCTGCTGGTTATTCAGGGCCTGAGAGCTCTTCAGTTAGCAAGTGATGAATTCTGCCAGGACTAAATCCTTCCCCACAAGGCAGCAATTTCCCTTCTGGCCTAGGGTATGTGGAAAAATGTTGTCCAGGAGCTAGCATCTGGGATGGGGACCTCAGGACTCTGCCTGTTGCCCTATCTTACTGTGGCTGAGTGGGTATCCAAGATAAAAGACAAAGTCCTCTTTATTCTTCCCTCTCCTCTCTTCAATCAGAAGGAAGGAATCACTTTTGTTGCTACAAGTTGTGCTGCCTTGGGTAGTGGGAAGGATGAAACAAGTACACCCTTAGCTACGTTTGCTGATTTCTCTAAATTCACTGGCTCCAAACTCAGCACAGCACTAGGATTTTCCCAGGAATCACAGTACTTGTGGCCTAGACTCTTTCAAGCTTGTTTAAGACCCCAGACCAGGCGCAGTCACTCACACCTGTAATCTCAGCACTTTGGGAGGCTGAGGCGGGCAGATCATGAGGTCAGGAGTTTGAGACCAGCCTGGCCAATATGGCCAAATCCCATCTCTACTAAAAATACAAAAATTAACTGGGCATGGTGGCACGTGCCTGTAGTCCCAGCTACTTGGGAGGCTGAGGCAGTAGAATCGCTTGAATCTGGGAGGCAGGGGTTGCAGTGAGCCGAGATTGCACCACTGCACTCCAGCCTGGGATGACAGAGCGAGACTCCATCTAAAACCAAAACAAAACAAAAAAACAAACCCAGAGCACTTTAGCCTGAGGTCTCAGGTGGGACTTGCTGAATCTCAAGTTCCAACTGATTTTCTGGGCAGTTCCCCTTTGGGTAGAGCTCATCAAATGCTTTCTCCATGAACGGGCATCAGTTGCAATCAGCCCAGTGTGGCTTTCCAGTGTGACAGGGCAGCATTGAGTTCAGTCCTGCCTTCTCCCTTCCCCAAGCACACAGTCGCTGCTTGGGTGACTCCAGCCTGGGTGACAGAGCGAGACTCTGTCTCAAAAAAAAAAAAAAAAGAATGCTGAAAATATACCCTAATATCTTTAATATCTTCTGACTTTTAGGGTTATGCTGAAAGGTTCACTGTTAGCCTGATGAGGTACGTCTTTTGGATGACTGGCCTATTCTCTCTAGCTGCCATGAATAATTTTCTTTCACGTTGATCTTGGAGAAGTTGATGAGTATGTTGTTTGTGGATGGTTTTGTTGTATAGTATCTCACTGGGGTGTTCTGAGTTTCCTAAATGTGAATGTTGGCTCTCTAGTGCGGTTGGGGAAATTTTTATTGATAATATTCTCAAATATGTTTCTCAAGTTGCTTGCTTCCTTTCTTACTCAGGGATGCCAATGGGTCATAGGTTTTGTCTCTTTCCATAATCCCATAATTCTCAGAGGTTTTGTTCATTCTTTTAAATTCTATTTTTTTTATTTTTGTCTGACTGCGTTGATTCACAGAAGCAGTCTTTTTTAATTTTGTTTTTATTTTTGTTTTCTGAGATGGAGTTTCGCTCTTGTTGCCCAGGCTGGAGTGCAATGGCACAATCTTGACTCACTGCAACCTCCACCTCATGGGTTCAAGCAATTCTCCTGCCTCAGCCTCCCTAGTAACTGGGATTACAGGCATGCACCACCACGTCCGGCAAATTTTGTATTTTTAGTAGAGATGGGGTTTCACCATGTTGGTCAGGTTGGTCTCGAACTCCTGACCTCAGTTGATCCGCCCGCCTCAGCTTCCCGAAGTGCTGGGATTACAGGCGTGAGTCACCACGCCTGGCCATAGAAGCAGTCTTTGAGCTCTGAGATTTTCTTCTCACCTTGGTCTATTTTGCCGTTACTACTTTTTATTATATTATGCAATTTTTGTAATGAGTTTTTCAGCTCTATAAAATCAGTTTCTTTCTTTCTTAAAATGTCTATTTCATCTTCCACCTCTGGTGTCATTTTACTGGGTTCCTTATATCCCTTGGATTGGGTTTCAACTTTCTTCTGAACCTCAGTGATCTTAGTTTGGCATCCAGATTCTGAATTCTATGTCTGCCATTTTAGCCATTTCATTAAAAATCACAGGATGGCCACGTAATAAATGAAAGTAGCACTGCACCTCTATCACCCCATCCTTCAGTCAGGATCAGCTTGGAATAAAGAGGGACTTCTCCTTGCTGGAAAAAGCTGAGAAAAAGACCTAGCAGCTTCCATCAACACTTTGGACACCTGTAGATCTCACCATTGGAGATTCCCTTTCACAGACACTAAGCACAGCTGACGGAGCTACCCAGATTCCACACAGCTGCACTCACCCAGGAGAAAAGACTGACACTGTGCCCCACTGTCCACGGCCATCACGGCTCTGGCACTATGCCATTGTGGAATGGGATCTACTTCTGGATCTCTGGGGGACACGTAGCCGCAGCATCCTTTCACTGCTGAGGGATTGTCACTGCTGAGCCAGCCTTGCCTGGTGGCCTGCCATCCCCAGGCTGAGCTGTTGCTCTATACTACCCTGTCGTGCCAAGCTGCCTAGAGCCACTCGATCCACCTTTCCCAGTGGCAGATGCATCCTGACCCTCAGGGACCGAGCTGAAGTGGAAACGGTGCCTTGGGTGTTCACAAGAGTGATGGCCTGTGCCTGCGCTAGTGTGACACGCTGTGTATTAGGGTTCTCTAGAGGGACACAACTAATGGCGTATATATGTGTGTGTGTGTGTGTGTGTAAAATCGTATCTGGTGTATATATATGTGTGTATATATACACATATCAAAAATATATATGTATATGTGTGTGTATATATGTGTGTGTATATATGTGTGTGTATATATGTGTGTGTATATGTGTGTGTATATGTGTGTGTATATATGTGTGTGCATATATGTTTGTGTGTATATATATGTGTGTGTATATGTGTGTGTATATATGTGTGTGTATATATGTTTGTGTGTATATATATGTGTGTGTATATATATGTTTGTTTATATATATGTGTGTATATATATGTGTGTATATATATAAAATCATATCTGGGGTATATATATGTGTGTATATATACACATATCAAAAAATATATGTATATATGTGTGTATATATATGTGTATGTATATATGTGTGTGTATATATGTGTGTATATATATGTGTGTGTATATATGTTTGTGTGTATATATATGTGTATGTATATATGTGTGTGTATATATGTGTGTGTATATATATGTGTGTGTATATATATGTTTGTGTGTATATATGTGTGTATATATATGTTTCTGTGTATATATATGTGTGTATATATATGTTTGTGTGTATATATATATAATCGTATCTGGTGTATATATATGTACACATATCAAAAAATATATGTGTGTGTACATATATGTGTGTATATATATGTGTGTGTATATATATGTGTGTACATATATGTTTGTGTGTATATATGTGTGTGTATATATGTGTGTATATATATACCCTACATATATATACCATACATATATATGTATATACACCATATCTATATGGGTGTTTATTAAGTATTAACACACTATTATACAAAAATTAGCCTGGTGTGTGTGTGTGTATACATATATATATATAAAATCATATATGTGTGTATATATATGCATGTGTGTATATATATGTGTGTGTATATATATGTGTGTATATATACACATACATATATATGTATATACACCATATATATATGTGTGTGTGTATA
The DNA here is from genome assembly GCF_000001405.40 of Homo sapiens. Classification (NCBI taxonomy): domain Eukaryota; kingdom Metazoa; phylum Chordata; class Mammalia; order Primates; family Hominidae; genus Homo; species Homo sapiens. Next base: position 238,495 of record NW_003571060.1, read on the forward strand.
TATATATATATATATACGAGTGTTTATTAAGTATTAACTCACACTATTATACAAAAATTAGCCCAGTGTGGTGGTGCACGCCTGTAGTCCCAGCTACTCAGGAGGCTGAGGCAGGAGAATCAGTTGAACCCGGCAGACGGAGGTTGCAGTGAGCCGAGATTGCGCCACTGCACTCCAGCCTGGTGACGGAGTGAGACTCCATCTCAAAAATTGGACTCTAGCCTGGGCAACAAGAGCAAAACTCTGCCTGTCTCAAAAAAAAAAAAAAAAAAAAAAAAAAGACATGATCCAGGCAACATCGATGGGGCATCACCAGGGTCTGTCCTGTCTGTTGCAGTCCACACTTTGCCCTGCTCATAGCCCCATGAACTTCATGTTCATGTCTTTTCACACTATAACTTCTTCCAGGTCTTTGCTGGACACATTAAAAAAAAATATATATATATAAAATGCTTCATGAAATTTGTTAATATCCTTGTGCAGCTGCCATGCTGATCTTCTCTGTATCATTCTGATTTTGGTATATGTGCTGCCAAAGCAACAACACACTGGACACATTTATCTACAAATGAGGCAAACAAAGCATATGGGTGTGAATGGGGAGAAGTACAGTGTTCTCTGTTGTAATTGACCCCGAGGTCATCCTTTATATTTACCAGCTTTGCTGTCTATCACCCTCTCTAGGTTCTGCTTACCTTCTGCCAGAGTTCGCATGAGAAACTCTACTTGTCTCAACTATCGGCCCAATGAAATAAACATAAATTTCAACCTTGAGGCATCTGAGCACCTGATTATTGTGCCTGTTTCAGGCTTTCTTGTGGGAGTTGCCCATTGTGTTAGTTTCTTGGAGGCTGATATAACAAATTATCACAAAGTATTGAATAAAAAGAAGATAAACTTATTCTCTCAGAGTTCTGCAGGCCAGAAATAAAAAATCAAAATGTTCATATAATTTCTTCTTTCTAGAGGCTCTGAAGAAGAAACTTCTGTGCTTTTTCCTTCTTTCTTTCTTTCTTTTTTTTTTTTTTAGATGGAATCTCGCTCTGTCTCCCAGGCTGGACTGCAGTAGCGCGATCTCGGCTCACTGCAAGCTCCGCCTCCCGGGTTCATGCCATTCTCCTGCCTCAGCCTCCCCAGTAGCTGGGACTACAGGTGCCCGCCCCCACACCCGGATAATTTTTTTGTATTTTTAGTAGAGACGGGGTTTCACCATGTTAGCCAGGATGGTCTCGATCTCCTGACCTCATGATCTGCCCGCCTCGGCCTCCCAAAGTGCTGGGATTACAGGCATGAGCCACCACGCCCGGCCACTTTTGTGCCTTTTTCTTAGACTTTGGTCCTTGCTGGCATTTCTTGGCATTCCTTGGTTTACAGACTTCTCATTCTAATCTCTGCCTCCATCTTCACATGGCATCCTATTCTTCTCTGTGTGTCTTCTTCATGTCTTATAAAGATGTGAGCAATATTGGATTTAGATCCTGCCCGAAGCCAGCATGACCACATCTTAACTAATTATACCTGCAAAGATCCTATTTCCAAATAAGTTCATATTCACAGCTACGGGAGGTTAGGATGTCAACATACCTTTTTGGAGACACAGTGCAAACCCCAACCCCAGTCATGGTTACCTCCAGCTATGGAGAATTCATCACTGCCACAGTGAATTATCTAAGCTGCCCAACCACCCTCTCTTCACCAAATCCTCCTCCTCATCGTTAAAGAAAATTACCCAGGCCAGTATGATATCTTTCTCCTTACCTGCTGATGTACTGTAATGAGGAAACCCAAGGAAAACCAGCTACATCATCATTTTAGGTACAGAGTAATTTTTGTGTTGTTCCCTGGTAGTGGTTTCTTACCAGGCAGATCTTCTAACCCAGGGTCACCTAAAAGTGCAGTCACAGGATGTGCACATCTCCCAAGTGTGTCATCTGTAAAGTTAGTGATAGATGCTGTTCATTAAACTCTCACTTTACTCCCAAGCCCATGCATTCTACCTGTCAAAAGACATACCATGATTTATTGTTTTATTTATTTTTTATTATTTTTTATTTTTTTGACGGAGTTTTGCCCTTGTTGCCCAGGCTGGAGTGCAATGGTGCAATCTTGGCTCACTGCAACCTCCGCCTCCCGGGTTCAGGCGATTCTCCTGCCTCAGCCTCCCAAGTAGCTGGGATTACAGGCGAGCAGCACCACGCCTGGCTAATTTTTGTATTTTTAATAGAGATGGCGTTTCACCATGTTGATCGGGCTGGTCTCGAACTCCTGAACTCAGGTGATCCACCTGCCCTGGCCTCCCAAAATGCTGGGATTACAGGCGTGAGCCACCGCACCTGGTCCATTTATTGTCTTTATAGCTATATCTGTATGTATATCATCTACAGCTTTCTGTATGCTTATTTACAGCTACTGTAACAGAACCCCCAAACTGCAGAGTCTCATTCACAAACTGTTCAATACATCCAATTTCAAGAGGCCATTTCAATGTTCTTTCAGTCCCAGTAAAACCAAACCACTGCATAGTACATATCTCAGGTCATTCCCAGAATATCACGTGGCCATGTTCTCATTCCCTCCACGGATTTTGTGGGCATCTGGATTCCCATTCTGAGAATAAGTCATGGGTTATTTCGTTTAAACAAGTCAGACATTCTGAGTGCTCACAGACCCCTGCGAGGAGCTCCGTCAAACCCATTTTCAGCACAAGCATCCTTCAGACTAAGGAAGGTTTGCTGCCCCCTCGTGGGTGGAATGTGTTCCATGGCATCAAGTTACTACCAGGCATCACATCCAGACCTCTCTGCTGGTCACAGGTGAGACTTTCAGCTACAGTGGTGGCTACGTGGTCCTTGGTGAGAGGGAGTCACTGGTGTTGGGTTCATGCATGTCCTCCTTTCTTGCTCCATGGCTATCCCATTCACGGGCCCCTCCTGCTTGCATTGGGCCTGCTGACCCCACAGCTGGATGGATTCCACTGCATCAATTCTGTACTCCACCTGGTGCCTCCCCCAGCTGTGGACTGCTCTTGCTTGCTTCTCAGGGATAGGCTCATGGTAGGGAGTATAAATTTCTCCTGTCCTCACCCAGCCTCAGTCTTGGACAATTTCTATATGAGTGGGCCTTGAGGGTGGAGCTTGCTCAGTGTTTGTGTCCTTCTTCCCCTTGGCAGCTGGATTGTACTTGGTAGCTTTGGTTGACTTGGGCAGGAATTTCCTGTCCCTTCCCTGACATTTGTATATCTGGGATTATGGTTTCAGGAATTTTCTGCAGTACTCCTAGGGATAGAGGGACTTTTAAATCTACCTTCTTATATCCACAATGGGTTTTTACCTGGGGCCTGAGATTGGCTGGTTTTTCTGAACCTCTCTCAATGACTTCAGTCTTTTTCTACACATGGGAGAAGTATCTGGGCAGGGGGTGAGATTTCAGGCCACACACTGTGGAAGGTAATCATGTCTGATCACAAATTTTGGGTCTCCACCTTACTTCCAATCTATGTTGTGAATGCCCAGTTGAGACCCACGGAAAAGAGCTCATGGGTGAGTGTGAAGTGCTTCTCTGTCTTAAGTTCCCAGAGATCCTTGCCTCTTGGAGGCCAGCAAACACTGACTCTTGAGGAATTCATGACAATATCATCTGATTCCTCCTTCCCAGCTTGTATGGCAGTCTCCCACCCTCATGTGTTCTGCCTTTGTAGAGCCTGTCATGGCATCCTACTCCTCCTTGGAATTCAGGTTACTCAGTTGCTCCCAGAGCTCGGATTTCTGATGGTCTCAGGTGAAATCTACATTATGGAGTTGATCTGAGTTTTACTCATGGTTAGGATTGCAGAGAAGCTCTTTTTTTGGAGTGGGGGAGGGAGGGGGAGGGATGGAGTTTCGCTTTTGTTGCCCAGGCTGGAGTGCAATGGCGTGTTCTTGGCTCACTACAACCTCTGCCTCCTGGGTTCAAGTGATTCTCCTGCCTCAGCCTCCCCAGTAGCTGGGATTACGGGCATGTGCCACCATGCCCAGCTTTTTTTTTGTATTTTTAGTAGAGAGAGGGTTTCACTATGTTTTCCAGGCTCGTCTCAAACTCCTGACCTTAGGCAATCCACCCACCTCAGCCTCCCAAAATGCTGGGATTACAGGTGTGAGCCACCGCACCCAGCTAGTGAAACTCTTTCCAGCTCCCCAAACCCTGGGCAGAAGCCGGGATATGAATTATTTATTTACTTACTGAGTTATGTGACATAACTCACACCATATGAAATGCACCATTTTTTAGTGTACAAATAAATGGATTTTAGTGTCTTCACTATGCTGTGCAATCACCATCCCTACCTCATCCCACAGCATTTCCATCACCTCAGAAAGAACCCCCAAGTAGTCAGTCCTAGTTCTTCCCTTCCCTCAGCCTTAAGAAATCACTAGTCTACTCTCAGTTTCTATGGCTTTGTCTATTCTGGATATTTCATGTGCATAAAATCACACCAAATACACGTCCTTTTGTAGCTGTTGATGGAAAAGAAGTGGTTACCATGAAGGAACTGAAGTTTTCCAAAGACAAAATTATAATGTGGCCTGACAGAAGAAGTACAGAAATTGATAACAAAAACAAATCCATCACAACTTATCATGAATCTGGTCATGCCATTATTGCATATTACACAAAAGATGAAATGTCTATCAACAAAGCTACAATCATGCCACAGGGGCCAACATTTGGACCTGTGTCCCCATTACCTGGTGATGACAGATGGAATGAAACCAGAGCCCAGCTGCTTGCACAAATGGACATTAGTATGGGAGCAAGAGTGGCAGAGGAGCTTATATTTGGAATTGACCATATTACAACAGGTGCTTCCAGTGATTTTGCTAATGCCACTAAAATGGCAAAGCAGATGGTTATCAAATTTGGAATTAGCGAAAAGCTTGGAGTTATGACCTACAGTGACACAGGGAAACTAAGTCCAGAAACTCAATCTGCTATTGAACATGAAATAAGAACCATTCTAAGGGACTCATATAAATGAGCAAAACTTATTCAAAATTCAAATAATTGTATGACATGGTTATAACAAAACACCATCCTACCCCATCCATAGTATTTATTTAGATGAACAAATTTTCTCAGTCCTGTATCTATACAAATGAAAACTAGATATAGTATTGACGTTTAGCTCTGTTTCAGTCTAGGAATAAGTAATATTTACCAGTGGACATGTGAACAATTAATAACCATAATCAAGAAGTATTTTTAAAACATTTAGAATCTTAAATTTATATAGTAGAGATGGATAGGGTGATCCATGAAAGATGTTTAATTATATAATTATTACATTTCGCTAAAAACTTGTTGGTGATGTTGAATGGAAAATCAAGTCAAAAATGAAGAAGAATGATGCAAACCTTAAAAAAAAAATGAGCAAAACTTATCTTGAAAAGTCATGCAGAGGAGCATAAGAATCTAGCAGAAGCTTTATTGACCTATGAGACTTTAGGTGCCAAAGAGATTCAAATTGTTCTTGAGGGGAAGAAGTTGGAAGTGAGATGAGAACTCTCTTGATGTGGATGCTTTGCTGGTTTTATTGCAAGAATATAAGTAGCATTGCAGTAGTCTCCTTTTGCAATGCTTTCTCCTCATTATTGACGTTGTGTAATTTAAGGGTGTGAAACATTTTGTCAACATTTTGTCACGTTTACCCAATTTTGGTTATTCTCATTATGACACCCATTGCAAATCAGCATCCCATGGCAAATATATTTTTAAAACTAAAGAACTATCAGGATTAAAGACAGCTCATTTGGGAAATGTCAATTAGTTATGAAGTTGAAAGTAACTAATGATTTTATGGTTGGTTACTCTACTAGAGGTGAATAAAACTTCAGCCTTTAGCCTTCTATATACATCAGTGGAAACTTAATTAAGATGCATTAATTATGTTCCAGATTGACCATCAATAAAATGTTTTTAAATCTAAATGTAGAGAATTGTAAGCATACAGTTGCAACCCGAATTTAAATGATTATAACCTTTTGGCATGGTGTGATGGCTCACGCCTCTAATCCCAGCACTTTGGGAGGCTGAGGCGAGTGGAAGGCTTGAGTCTAGGAGTTCGAGACCAGCCTGGCCTACACGGCGAAACCCTGTCTCTACTAAAATTAAAAAAAATAGCCTCCTGTGGTGGTGCACAACTGTAATCCCAGCTACTCAGAAGGCTGAGGCACAAAAATTTGCTTGAACTGGTTGCAGTGAGCCAAGATCTCACAACTCCACTCTAGCCTGGGCGACAGAGTGAAACTTTGTCTCAGTAAATAAATAAATAAATAAATAATTGTAACCTTTTAAAAATAAAAAAACCCAAACAAATATATGTCCTTTTTTTGTCATTATTCATGATAGCTAAATAGTGAAAACAACCCAAATGTCCATCAATTGGTGAATGCATAAACCAAATGTGATATAGGCATAGAATGGAATATTCTTCAACAGTAGAAAGGAACAAAGACCAATTACATGCTCTAGCGTGCAGAGACCACGAAAACATTTTGCTATGTGCAATTGGATTTTTGCCATTTTGTTGTTGTTTTTAATGTAGTACATTTATTTTAATTTATTATTTTTTAAAAAAAAATTCAATAGCTTTTGGGGAACAGGTGGTGTTTGGTTACGTGGATAAGCTCTTTAGTGGTGATTTTTGAGATTTTGGTGCATTCATCACCCGAGCAGTGTACACTGCACCCAATGTGTAGTCTTTTATCGCTCATCCCCCTCCCATTGTTCCCTGTGAGTCCCCAGATTCCATTATATCCTTCTTATGCCTTTGCATCCTCATAGTTTAGCTCCCACTTATGAGACCATATGATGTTTGGTTTTCCATTTCTGAATTACTTCACTTGGAATAATGGTCTCCAACTGCATCTAGGTTGCTGCGAATGCCATTATTTTGTCCCTTTTTGTGGCTGAGTAGTATTCCGTGCTGTGTGTGTGTATATACACACATACACATACATGTTTTTCATATGTTTGTGGACCGTTCGTATATCTTCTTTTGAGAGTTGTCACAAAGGGAATTGGATTTGGAGGGAACAAATTTATGGCCATTTTTCAGTATAATCATCGGGTGAAGACAGTGTCTGTTCGGCCAGTGTCGCTTTAATCCATTACCTGTAGCCAGGAAGGGAGACGTTTATCGCAGAGATAGGCACCAACCTGGAATGCTTTCCTCAAAGGCGATTAACTGTAATGTGAACCCGAAATTTCACCGCAGTTTGGTCCTGATTTGGCACAAGATATGCTTTATCCACTGATGTGAAATGTCCAGGTGTTTTTTTGTACGGTTTTGTTGCTGAAAGACACAATACCCTCTAATCTAAGGCATCCTCTCCAAATCCCACTGAACAATACCCTCTAATCTAAGGCATCCTCTCCAAATCCCACTGAGGCACAGGAGTGACACTAGAGAGGGGGTCACGGAGCTTCCTGAGAGAGATTCGCCTCCTGAACCCTGGGCAGATCCTCCCCACCTTGGGATCTCTGTGAACCTCTGGGGTCTTCTATTCAATCAGGACCAAGTTGTGAGGTGGGATTCCTTCCAGGCTACAGTCTCCCCTCTCCCTCTTTCAATTTCATCAAGACAGATCAGAGGTTTGTGGGAGGGAGTCATGGCGTCTCCTCCACAGCCCCCAGCTGTGCAGATGGATGAGGCCACCGTTCCTGGATGGAGTAAATCTACTGGGAACCTGGGTTCTCCATCACGAGGTTGTCCCGTCATCAGCCCCAAAAGAAGGGGAACTGCCCTCTCCGGGAGCTTGACTTTCATTTCCCCAAGGCTGGGACTGGGGCAGGCACCAGGCTGTCTTCAGATACTTCATACAGAAATGGTATCTCCCTGACCCTTTTCTGCGATTTGCCTCATCTGTCTTCATCTCATCAAGGGTCAGGACGTAGGAGCCGACAGACCCAGCACCTTTCTGAGTCTGTCCTGTCCAAGTGAGGGTGACTGGGGGCTTGTTCTTCTTCTCAGAGCCTCCCTGTGGGGTTCTCTTCCCTCCTTCAGCCTGTCCATCAACACAGCATTGCGGGATCCTTACCATGGCATCCAGCCCTGGAGATGCTTCAGGAAAGTTGCAGGTCCATGCTGCAGGACAGGCTCAGATCAGCAGAGACGCATCTCACATCGGGCTGTGAAATTCAAGTTGAGCTGCAATTGGCAATGAGAAGAAAAAAGGAGAAATAAAGAAATGCTGACTCTTCTTTTGTCTTTGGAGTATGGGTTTTATTTCTTCCAGTTTCCTTCTTAGACTTCCCTTCTTTTTTTTCTTCCTATTTTTTTTAATAGTGTTCAGGTCCCCCTCCCTTAAAAGTAACCTCTGAGTCATTCCTGCCTCCTTGGCGTCCCTCCCACCCCCAGCCCCGCTTCCTTGGGCATTCCCCTGCATCTCAGTCTGCCTTCAAGGTTTTGGGAACAAGTACTTGTCTTGAGCTCTGATTTGGGGGTGGGATAGGGAGTTAATTTTTTCTGAATTGCTCACCTTCATCCCTGCGTGCATGACCTTGGGCAGTAAGTCCCATCTCTGAGCCTCGGTTTCCTCATTTGGAGCCTGTTGTCATGAACCCCCCTCCTGAGTGGTTTTGGGGGCCAGTGGTGCCTGGGTCATGGGAGGGCCTCAGTCATGGTACATTTCCAGACCGGGTTAAGTCTTGGGGGTTGAAACATGAGTGGATCCTGGTGTTGGACTGCACAGTCACGGTGAGTGACTTATGTGCTCAACAGCCCACATCTGCTCCTAACACTGGGAAAACCTACTTATAATGTGTCTGAAATATGTAGCCATGGTCCAATGAAGAAAATGAGAAATGAGACTTCCTGTCATAGGCAGGAAACCTTAAGAAGCAGAAGATGCCAGCGCCGAGGGGCTGCTGGTGACTTGCAAAGCTGGGGGTCACTAAGGGGGAGGTTTCTGCCTCTGTATGAGACAGAGGAGAACCCCAGGGCCCTCACAGACAGGGAGGGGTCGGGGTTTTGGATGAAAGTGGGAAGTTGTGGCTCCTTCTCCCCTGTGTTTGTGGATGGCACTGGGATATCTCTGCTCATTGACTCAGGTCCATGGTCAGCCCTGAGCCGCCTCCTCCATGTGTGTGAAACAGATTCACTGCAGCGTTGTCACACATGGGCGTCTGTCCCACATGCGAGTCTGAGGCTCACACTGGACCCTCCCTGCTGGTTACAGCCCTGAGTAGACTCATGTGGCACTGGCAGGTGGAACCATCTCCCCTTTTCCAGCCTTAACTCCCAGCACAGCCCTGGTGGAAACCCTCTCTGGAAGATGAGGCATGTGGGAAGCATGTGTCCAAAAATGACAAGGAGAAGGAATTATCCTAATGATCAAAAGTGCTATGATGGGCCAGGCACCGTGGCTCATGCCTGCAGTCCCAGCACTTTGGGAGGTCAAGGCGGGCGGGTCACTTGGGCCCAGGAGTTCAAGACCAGCCTGGGCAACATGGCAAAACCTCATCTCTACAAGAAATACAAAAATTAGCTGGATGTGGTGTCATGAATAATGGCCTCCAGCTCATCCAGGTTGCTGCAAAACTCAATCCCTTGTACATCAGTTGCAAAAAATTAAAAATATCTAAGAATATACCTAACTGAGGAGGTGAAAGATCTCTACAAGAAGAACAACAAAATGCTGCAGAAAGAAATCGTAGATGACACAGCAAAATAGAAATATATCCCATGCTCATGGATTGGCAGAATCAATATTGTGAAAATGATCACACTTCCCAAAGCAATATTTAGGTTCAATGCAATTCCCATCAAAATATCAACATCATTTTTTTCACAGAATTAGAAAAAAATCCTAAAATTCATATGGAACCAAAAAGAGGATGAATACCAAAGCAATCTTAAGCAAAAAGACAAATGTAAATTTAATAAACATATCCTAGGCTGAATTGTAGGGGGTTTGTTTTTGCTCACTTCAACCTCCACCTCCCGGGTTCATTCAAGTGATCCTCCTGCCTCTGCCTCCCAAGTAGCTGGGATTGCAGCGTGCGCCACCATGTCCAGCTAATTTTTGTATTTTTAGTAGAGATGGGGTTTTGCCTTGTTGGCCATGCTGGTCTTGAACTCCCGGCCTCAAGTAATCTGTGGCCTCTGCCTCCCTAGGTGTTGAGATTACAGGCGTGAGCCACCGCACCCGGGCACATTGCCTCTTTTTCTATTCTCAAGAAACATTTGTGATGCTCTGGGTGTGTTTGTGTGTTTCATTAGTGCGTCAATATTTGTAAGAAATCACCAGTGAAACTTCCTGAACTGGAGTTGATACGATGGGAACATTTTTATTACAGTCAATGTTTTTCACACACACACACACACACACACACACATATATATACACACACATACACACACATTTAAAATGAGTCAGATTCTCTGATTACTCTTACGTTCATTATGTAAACTCCAGTTTTGAATATTTCATCCATTTAATCTGCATTTTCTAGTATATTGGTATAGGTTTGCAGCCTGTTCTGGGGTTAGTTTGTGAAAATGTGTGTAGGATCTGCTGGGCTGTCTGCTGGCTCACTCCCATATGGAAATGCGTGCCTGCTCTTTCTTTCTCTTGCTCAATGTAGTTAGGATTTATGACTGTAATTAATATTTTCAAGAATGAGCTTCATTGGCTTTGTTGAATTTTCAAGTTTTGGTTTTTCCTCATGAGCAACTCTTCTTCTTCTTATTCCCTTTCTTACACCTTCATTTGGAATAATTGGTTATTCTTTTTCTAAATTCCTTATACGAAAGCCAACGTCATTCATTTCCTAGTTTTTTTTTTTCGTTTCTACTTTTTTCATTTGTGGTTTGTACTTTTTCAATTTCATTGTGTGATGTGTAATATTTATATTGTGATTCAGTTTAAAGCACATTCTTACTTCTGATTTTAGTTTTCTCGGTTAACTCATTGATTATTGAGAAGTCTGTTGCTTTAATTAAAAAATGTAGGGATATTAGTTATTTCGACTGCAGAATCAAGTGAGTCCCAAAGTTCCCAGCATCTCCTCATGGTCTTTGTTAGGGGTCCAGGCTGACTGGGGTTCATTGGTGTCCACTGGGGGCAGCTCCCGTGCCTTCAGCAGTCCTGAGTCTCCTTCTACTGAGTGTGGAGTCTGCGTACCCTCCGGGCTAGTGGATGGCCAGGGTGGCGTAGATGCTGGGCTCAGCTGGAGGTTCCCTTTCCTGGGATGGAGGAGGCTCAGTTGCCTTCCGTCTGAGGGTCAAGCTGTGCAGCTGGGCGTAGGTCACATCCTGGGGGGCTTCAGATGCAGCAGCCTGCAGCGGGGGAGAGTGAGAGGTAAGGAACGTGGTGGGGGTGGGGGAGGCCTGGGGGCCTGGAGAGGAAAGGACTCTCTCAGTGTCCATCTGTCTGTCCTCTTCTGCCTGTCTGTCCTTTGTGTCCAGGAATTCCCCGGACAGTGGGGAGGGAGGAGAGGCCATTTCTCTCCTAGGTCTGGAGTGTTTCACCGGGGCATATGTCACTGCCTGGGGGTCTTCATCATGTGGGCTCTGCTGGAGAGAGACAGTGGTGGGGGGTGTCCTTGAGTCCCCCTGACCTCCTGGAGTCAATTTTCCTCACTGTTCCCGGGGTGATCCGATTACATCCCTTTCCCGATGGAATCTCAGGGACGCCCTAAGGCCGTGGAGGGTCTGGCCGCTCCCTTCCTGTGGTTCTGGCCTCTGCTCCTCACTCTGACCTTGCCCATTTGGCTGCAGCCTCATGGGCCTTCCCGCAAGAGCTCGCTGCTGCCTCGGGGCCTTTGCACGGCTGTTTCCTCTGCCTGCAGGGGCTCGTCCATTAGAGGATCGTGTGCCCCACTCTGTCCAGGCTTCTCAGATGACAGCTGAGCAGACAGCCCTCCCCTTCCATTCAGACTGGCCCCACTGCCCCACACTCTCTGCCCTTTCCCTGGTGTATGTTCCTTTAAGCACGTTGCACTCCTGGACATGGCGCATTTATTTGCATTTTGTCTCCCACCACGAGGTGAGCTCAGGAGGCGGGGGCGGCTTTGCTCCCTGCTGTGTCTGCAGCTCCCATGGGGAGCCTGATCCACAGTGAGCTCCCTGGGAACACTCACTGGTTGAATGAATGAAGGGGAGCCCAGGGGACCGGGGTGGTTCATTTATTCCTCATCCTCCAGAGGCCTGGGGAGCGCTCTAACAACCAGACGGCCAAACAGAGGATGAGGAGCAGGAAGGGGACCCGGGAGGAGGCCCACGAGGTCCCAGGACAGCAGGAGAGAGTGAGGTCACAGCAGGCGGGAGGCAGCGTGCTGGACAAGGAGGGGTCCACCGTGACGATGCTGAGAGCCGGGGGAAGGAGGACAGAGAAGTCCTGCTGGATTAGATCTGGCACCAGGAGGCCTTTGGTGCCTGGGACAGGGGCGGGGTCTCACCCGAGTGTCCATCTCCACCCCATCTTCAGGCTGTGTGTCCTTCACGGCAGCATCTGCTGGGGCAGAGCAAGGGGTTCGTCTCTTGGGAAGGTTCCCTGGGACCTCTGAGTCCTGCCAGCCCCTGCCCTGCTCCCAGATGGGGCTACTGAGATGCAGGGAGGGGCTGCAATGTCCCTGAGGTCCCACAGTGTGGGGTGAGATGATCTCACCCTGAGCCCCAGACCCTTTCCAGCCGGTGCCCCTTTCCCCATTGCTACGGAAACTTCGGGGCCCCTATCTCCCTCCTGGCTGGTCACCTCTTCCTCTCACTCACAGAGGTTTTCTTCCTGGGCGTCGGCAGCTGGGCTGGACCTGGGGGAGGAATGGGAGCTTTAGGGGCAGTGTATGGGCCACGAGCAGGTGGGAGTCTGGGGTCTTCGGGCAGAATTACCTCCACTGCAGGCCTCTGTCTGTGGGCTCTGGCCCCACAGCCCCTGCAGGATGTTGGAAATCAGCCTTTCTCTGGGCTGGGGGAAGAAGGACAGAGCCTCAGCCCTGGGAACATTGGAGCCCCCTGCCCTGCACACACAGCTCGAAGGTAAGGAAGGAAACCTAAAAACACTCCTGCCTCCATGTTCCAAATGCCTCATGAGATGGACAGAGTCCGAAGGACACTTTACATTTGTAGATGGGACTGAGCCCGGAGGACACTTTATATTTGTAGATGGGACTGACGTTAAGTGCTTTCTCCATTCACCTGGTGAGAAATGCTGGAACAGTTTCTCAAAGCTGCATTTGCCCAGTGGTTTGGATTCTCTTTGGCTGTGCCCTGAGCCCACCCTCGGTCGGCCCACAGGGTTTCCCCTTCCCTACTCACTCGATGTCCAGTGTTTGCCCTGACGTCGATGTCGGAGGATGAGGAAGAGGAGGAGGAGGAGGAGGAGCAGTAGGACGACGGCCACCAAGATGCCGATCACAACCCCCAGGTGCCTTCCCAGACCTTGAGCACGATGATGTCAGGGATGGGGGTGATGTCATTGAAATGAGCGCCTACTGTGTGCAGGTGACTGCTGGACCTTCTGTTCACCACCTCCAACCCCCACAACAGTCGTGCAGCACACAAACATCCACCCCACCCACTCTACAGATGAAAAACTGACGCTCAGAGAGGGGAATCGCCTGCCCCGGGCCCCCAGCCAGGAAGCGGCAGAGCTGGGAAGGGAGCCCGGGAGTCTGACCTGCAGCCCTTGTTCCTGCACCAGAGCCGAGCCCCGGAGCTGCAGGGAAAGAGCCTGACCGTCCTGAACCACGACTCTGCTCCCCTCCCCTGCCCCAGGTCACCGTCTCTGCTGCAGGTGGGACGGGACAGGCCCCCGCGGAATCGAGTCTTGGAGTCTTCCCTGAGGGGCCTCCTCTCCCAGGAGGTCACAGCTGGGAGTGAGAGCTGAAAGGAACTTTCCCACCTGCAGGCCTCTCTCCTTTACACTTGGAGAAACTGAGGCCCAGGCAGGGGAGGAGCCTGTCTACATCACCACCTCCAGAGGAGCCTGAACCTAGGACAGAACCCACCCCTGCCTCCCCGGGACCCCGCCCACCTCCCACTCAGAGCCCCTCACTCACCACTTTGGGGATCCGACCCAGTGGGGGTGAGGGGCTGGTCCTCAGGGCCTGCTGGGTCAGGAGGGGGAGGTGAGGGCTGGGGCTGCCCTGCTCCCCACATCAGCCTGGCTGCTCCTCCCCCAGGCTGGGCCCCAACACTTCTCTCTGCCTCGATCCCCCACCCCTCACCAGCCCAGCCTCAGAGCCCTGGGGACCCTGTGGCCCCTCCTCTGGCTCTGCCCAGCTCCCTGGACAGAAGCCCTTGATTGAGTCCCTGAAGGGAATGGGATCCTCCTGGACACTCAAAGCTGCCCTGGGGGTCGCTGCGCTCCCTTCGAGCCAGAGGCCTCAGGGACTCACCAGGTGTGGAGATGGGACCGGTGGGTGGGGGGCTGGAACCCATGGAGGGTCCTGGGTGAAAGAATGAGAGGAGGGTGAGGAGCTGGGGCTTTCCTGAAGTTTCCACCTCAAACCAAATTTCTCTACATGGGCCCTGTGGCCTCCCCAGGCCCCTCCCTCCACCCGCCTCTCCTGTCCATGATGCTGGCGATGCCGCTGAGTGTGCGCAGGCCTGGGAGGGCCTGTTGTCCTCCTTCCCTCTGAGGGTGAGTCTCCCACTGGCTGAGCCCCGCTCAGACCCCCGCTCACTCCATCCCAGCCCAGAGCTCTCCTGGGGGGCAGGGCCTGAGCTGAGCCTTTGAGCTCAGAGAGGACAGGGTCAAGGCCCCCACCTGAGACCACGAGCTCCAGGGGCTCACTGGGGTGAGACAGCAGGTAGGGGTCGGAGTTGAGTGAGCCGTAGCACCTGTAGGTCCCCGCGTGGGCTGAGGTCACAGGACTCATGGGGAATTC